>NC_000015.10:20729746-21029746 GCF_000001405.40 Homo sapiens | reverse complement strand
GTGGCAGGCGTCAGGTTCCTGTGCGCACTGAGCTCCTCCCTTACGTGCTTTGGACAGAAGTGTGAGGCATGCAAGATTGCTGCAGGAAGTCCACCTGTGGGGATGCTGTGACTTCTCCAGCAAGAACACAAGTCTGCTCATTGACCGTCACCACACATAACAAATTAAGTATCCCTTTTTTGATAACATGTCATTGTTTCACAGAGTATTCTTTTAAAGTGTATAAGTTGACTGCAGTTATTATTTTTTGCTTCTGTTACTAATTTACACATGATTAGGCACAATTTACACTTAAGAAATTTCTTAATAGTTTTTTCCTCCTTAAGGTGAGCTATAGTCAGATAACATACTTATCAATTGTCTCTAGCTCTTGTCAGAAAAAAATATAGGGGTGTGTGTGTGTGTGTGTGTTTTGGCCTTTCCAATGATGAATTAAGATGTGCATTGAGAAGGCGTTCACTTTATTTGACGTTAAGGAAGTACCAAGAAGACGCTCTCCACAGGCCCTGGGAAAGCCAGCAGCTGCACCCCGAGGCTGTGCCAAGCAGGGAACAAGGAGGCAGCACCACCTGCTGGGCAGGGAAAAAGCCCTCCCAGTCCCTGCCGCTTCTCTGCAGAGGCACAAAGAGCTGACCCTTCTCCTGGGCCTTCTCCTGGGCTGATGAGATTGCTCCCTGATATGCCAAATTAGGGTTGTGCATCTGAGGCTCTCTCTAGACTCTCAGCTCCTTCCTACTCCTGCGAAGTGAAGAAAACAATGCCAAGGGTTCCTGGAGGCGTCTCTTCCCCTGGAGAGTTTTGACTCCTTTCAATAGTCTCCACTAACCAGCCCTCACTCCATGTCCTCCGTTTCTCCCTAAAGCGGTGCCCAGTCTGATTCCACCGTGGCAGGGATAACAAGGGGCCAGGACATCAGGGGAGAGAAGTTTCTACCTGAGTCACAGCAGCGGCTGCCCTGCAGACTCCTGAAGACACAAGACACATTTCCATCCCAGAGACTCGGCGAAATGCAACCTCAGGCTAGAGAGAGCCAGTTATTTTTTCTTGTTCTGTCCTGGAGAGGCCACTGGGAAAGTCGTGCCCCTTGTTGAGGAAAATATGAGATCTCTCTGCGTCGTCCTCTGCCTGATGGCTATACTTCCATGTGAGTGTCTCAGAGATTTCAGAACTGGGGCTGTGGGCTGTGGTGTCCGTTTGCGACTCATGTCTTTGCTTCTTGGCCCTGAGTGTCCTGCATCAAGTGCAGCTACTAGAGTCATGCCCAGGGCTGGTGAGGTCCTCACAGACCTCTGGGCCTGGACCCAGCAGCACTCTGGGAAGGCACTGGGGCACCTCAGCTCCAGGGGCAGCACACACTTCAGCCCACCCTTCTGGGCCAACTGTCCATCTGCAGAGACACATCCAAGGCCCAGTTATCCCTGCAGCTGAGCTCCGTGATGGCCAAGGGCAGGGCCACACATTCCCGTGGGAGACAGAATGGGTACCTCAGTGTGAGCCCAGACACAAACCTCCCTGCAGGGAAGCACAAGACCACCAGGCGGCGCTCCAGACCACAGAGAAGAAAATCTGTGTCTATATATAGACAGCCTAGGATGCATGAGGCCTCTCACCCCTGGGAACGCTGAGCAGCCACCAGGAGCCCACACTTTGAGGTACAGCAGGAGCCATGCGCTCTCACTCTTGCTCACTCACGCTCCTGCACACAGCCACTGACACATGCCCTCATGCACGTTGCAGATTAACTCCACTGGCCTTGCACTTGCAACGCTGGAGGCTGAGAGGTATCCACAGGTTCTTTTCTCATGAGAGGGGAGGGCTGACTTTCACTTGTGGAGAGGCAGCTCCACGAACACTGGCTGTCCTGAGTGGATGCACCTGGCTCTGGAATTCCTGTCATTTTTTTTGGATCCAGGAGCCCCTGCCTCATGTAGCTACTTAACAGAAAGGAGGAATCCACCCAGGACATGCCCAGACAGGAGCCTCACAGGACGGACAGTGGTGTCTGGGGTCACGGGCAGCCCTGACCCAGCAGCACCAGCACCAGCACACCCAGTGGGGAAGGCAGGGAGGCCGAAATGCCACCCACGGTTTGTTATTTCACTGGGTGGGACCTGGCACCCCTGCCTTCCTGACACCCTGGAATCCCTGCCTCCTCCTAGAGCCTCCAAGCCCGTCTCCCTCAGAGCCTCCAGAGACAGACCTGGGGAGCCATTTCCTCAGGCCCTGGACAAGGAAACGGAATTCCAGGTTATGGGTGCCTGGGGCAGGTCTCAGGCAGGTGCTGGGAACCAGAGACAGCAGTCACCACGAGGCCTTAGGCCTGGCACCAGCACTTTGAGCCTCAGTTTACCAGCCCACGAGGTGCTGAGTCTGGACTGGATGACCTTCCCACCCCCAGTGACCTCTGACCTTTCCCGAGCATGTCAGCTCTGCACCAGCATCCTGGTGTGAGCCCAATGCCACTTTTTTTTCTCAACAAATAAGAAAGGAGGAAGGTGCCCCCAGGGCCCTGTGCCCTGAGGATGCCTGTGTGGAGGGGTCCATTTCATCACTGGTGTCACTCACAGGAAGGGACGAAGCCACCTGCCTTGACGGAGCTTACTCCACCTCCGCGGAAGGCCGGGGAGGTCCCTCACAGCGAACCTGAGGCCCAGCAGGCTGCAGAGGTGCTGACAGGGAATGACTGCTCAGACGCCGGGGGCCGGCAGAGAGGACGGATATGGGGATGCACACTGAGGAGCCTCTCCTTGGAGATGGAGACACGTGGACCACATGGACCAGGACACACTCCATGAAGCCTCACACTCCCCTGAGCTGCAGCTCAAGGGCCTCTCTCTGAGCCCACGGTCCCACCCCTGGGAGGCAGCTGCCCCAGCTCTGAGGGAGGAGGGCATCCACCAGACCCTCCATCTCCTGGGGGCACCAGCCCAGCCCAGCGGCTCTGCAGGACTCTGCACCCCCAATTCATGGCCAGGACTTTCTGGATGTATCTTAAGGACTGAGGACTCCACATCAGGGACCACACAAGACCGGGGTCCCGGACATGGGGGTTGGGGGTGAGCATGTCACCGGGATGGGCTGTGGCATCACTCTGGTGCTTCATCCGGACAGCCAGGGACCAAAGCCACGCCCTCAGCCCCACCCCACCCCTACCTCACATGGCAACCCAGGGTCTGCAGATGCAGGAGAATGAGAAGCATGGTAGCCAGGCAGACTAGAGGACCCGAGCTGGGGTTGAGCACATCCCTGTCTACCCAGGGCATGGCCTGTGAGGCTGCAGGTGGCCTAGTGTGTGCTGCAGGCTCAAGGTCCTGCCCCAGGGAGCATGACATTCAGGCCAAGAAATTGCATCATGCTGCACACGGCCCAAGGGGATAACCCTGTGATGTTCAGGTCACCAGCAGGCTTGGGGTCAAGACCGAACTGCAGAGGACAGGTTTCTGGAAGGCACAACATCATGGGTGGAGGGACTTGGAGCAAGGTCCTTAGCCCCGGGACCAGTGAATGTGTGCCCTTATAGGGAAAGGGGGTCTTTGCAGAAGGAAGTTAGCTGAAAATCATGAAGTGGAGAGGTGCTCCTGGATTAAAGAGGTGAGCCCTAATATAATCACAGGTGTCCTTCTAGGAGGATGGCAGAGGGAGACTGACATAGACAGAAGCCAGATGAGGTCGGAAGCAGAGGCAGAGGCTGAGAGAGCAGATGCTACGCCCTGGCCCTGAAGACGGAGGAGGAGCCGAGAGCTCAGGGATGCAGAGACTAGAAGAGGCAGGGAAGTTCTCCCCGCAAGCCTGGAGGGAGCATGGCCTCCAGCACACCTAGACCTTGGCCCTGTAGGATTCATCTGGACCTGTGGTATAAATGTGTGGTGTTTAAGCCACTGGGCTGTGCAAATTGTCATAGCAGCCATGGCGCATTCCTAGAGGGAGCCCTGGTGGGGACCCAGCAGGCAGCGACGGGGCCCTCACAAGCCTGTGAGCCACTCAGAGCGGTGAGAGTGGCTAGGCTTGGTGAGGTGCAGGCCACGCACAACTCCACTAAGGCAGCCTTAGAGCCCACACCTCCTCTCTCTCTCTCTCTCTCTCTGTCTCTTTCCCTCCCTCCTTCCCTCCCTCCCTTTCTCTCAGTTGGACAGCTCTCCATCATGCCCCGGGACATGACCGCCTCCCAAGGCCAAGCTGGGGCACTTTGCTCGAGGTGAGCACTGACATCCTGGGGGTGTGAGGGGCACCTACCCAGCAGCCCTGTGTGAAGGATGGGCGGTGGGCCCTAGCTGGCACTGGGCATGTGGCCCGGCTGGTGCCCGCAGGCTGCAGCCTTTCTGGGTGGCCAGGATCAGTGAAGGCCTGCAGAGTCTGGGCCTGGGATCCCTGCAGCACTGGCTGAGGACAGGCAGGGTTGGGCAGTGAGGGCACTGGGTCACTGTCACCACCCACGGTTTGTTACTTCACTGGGTTCCCTGCAGTGCTGGCTGGGGACAGGCAGGGCTGGGCAGCGAGGGCGCTGGGTCACTGTCACCACCCACGGCTTGTTACTTCACTGGGTGGGACCTTGCACCCCTGCCTTCCTAACACCCTGGAATCCCTGCCTCCTCCTAGAGCCCCCAAGCCCATCTCCCTCAGAGCCTCCAGAGACAGACCTGGGGAGGCATTTCTTCTGTCCCCAGCAGAAGCCCAGGAGGCCCGGAAGGCACAGTGGGTCTAAAGGAGAGGATCCTGCCACTGCCTGAGGGGTGACTCAGACAAGACAAGCATGGAGCCCACTAGAAGTGGGGTGGGAGCCCCACCAGGGATGGGCTAGTTCCTCATGAAGGACCAGGGCCCAGGAAGGACAAGGGGGCCTGCTGGGGCAGGGTCTGCTATGGCGGAGTCCCTGTGAGCCTGGCCCAGACCTGCGTCTCTCTTTCCTCATTGGTCCCCACAGGTCCGTGGCGGTTGCCGTATTGGGAGGCCCCGTGGTGGCAGGGGTGGGACACCCGGTATACGTTGCCAGGTGTGTCCGATAGGCTCATGCTCACACCTTCGCCTGGCACCTGGGCAGAGCTGGAGCACCCGGGCACTGAAGTGAGGGCAAGGTCTCGGGGCCCCACAGGGTGGCTGAGGAGACAGCTGCAGGGTACCTGGGACCCCTGGACTCAGGAAGTAGAAGGATACAGCCTAAAAATGCACACCACAGGCTCACCAGCCGGTGCAGGCCCACAGAACTCGAGGAGGCAGCCCTGAGCCTCCCAGGGAGAGATGCTCTGTGCACGCCAGCACAGGCCCTGGGTTACAAACCCTAGGCACAGCCCAGGAGAGGCCCAGGCCCCAGGCCAGCAAGGGGTTGCAGGAAGCAAGAGGCCCCAGCCACAGCATGAGATGAGCCCATCAAGCCAGGGCCAGGTGGGCAATGGGAGGCAGGCAGGGCTTGGGGGTGGGTCCCTGCTGCAGCACCTTCCACTGTCAACCGGAGGAGTTTCTTCACTGTGCGGAGTCCACGGGCCTCCTGTGAGTGTGTGCATGGGCCCAAGTGTGTGTGTGCCTCTGCTGTGTGTCTGTACACAAGTATGTTTTGGGGTTTTTTTGTGTCTCAGACCACAGAGTCTGCCCCTCTCACCAAAGCCCAGGCAGAAGGATGAACTCACGCCCCTGGGGCCCAGGCCTCAGCAGCCTCTGTGGGATCATTGTTCCCGGTTGTCACTTGCCTTTGGCACAGCCCTATTTCTCCACAATTCCTTAAAGTCCTCAACATGCTTTAAGGCACAAAGGTGAAAGTACCCAGAAACATCTGACTCTGCTGTGGAACCCAGGAGTAAGCTGGGTTAGCTAAGGAGCGGGGCCGTTGGCAGAGGCTGGGGTCCAGGCTGAACTTTGGAGGAGGCATGTCCCAGCATGGGCTCCTGACTATGTCCTCCTGGGACAAACCCAAACCCACTCTTTGAATATGGGAGGGACTTTGCTGGCCCTGGCCCTGACCGCAGCACTTGGAAACTAAGGAGTGGTCGCCTCCCCCCTGTCACAGCTGCCCGTTCACCATCATAGAAGCAACTCTGTCACCTCCATGGGCCCCTCTGTGGCTGCTGCCTGGGTCCAAGCTGAGCCCAGCTGCCCAGGCCCAGAAGGAAAGCCCAGGCCAGGCGCCCAGCACAGAGGCAGTCACGTACCCCAGGGAGAGCCACAGCAAGCAGCCAATGTTGCCCAGGAGAGGAGTAGCTGACAAGGCAGAACGTGAGCTGCCATCGGCTTGAGAGGCTTTGCTGGTCCTCCTGGGCTGTGGACATGACCTGGAGGAGCGAGGGAAGAAGTCGTATGGTGGTCCCATCCCAGGGCCTGATGGCAGCTGGCCACCCGTCCCAGAGTGGCAGCCAGATGCCAGCGCCATTCCCACAGTCACATCATTGGTCACAGACTGCAGGACATAGAGCGTCTTCTTTCCATCACAGTGCTGTCCAAACCCATAGCCTAGGGTAGACCTGGAAGATTCAATGTCCACACCCGGGGCTGGAGCACAGCCATGAGCCAGGCCCACTGCCCGTGCATGGAAAGCCAGCCCAAGCCCTGCTCCATCCCTAGCCAATGTCAGTGTCCTTTCCCCTTCTCCCAAGTGAGCTCTAGCCACCTGCCTACCCTGCCATCTGAGGATGACAACCTTCATTCCATTGGAATCTGGCTCTGCCACCAGCAGGCTTGCAGTCTTGGGCAGACTCCGTCACCTCTCTATGCCTCAGCTTTTCCATCTGCACAGGAGGATGATGATGATGGTGGTGATGAAGATGGCAATGGCTTCCTTTTGCATTTGAGGCAAGGACTAATTGAGATGATACACATCAGGCACTGGGTATGATGCTGGTCCTTCCTGAGCACTCAATCTATGTGAGCTGTCCTTGTGAAATGGATGTCACCACATTTCCCCATGCAGAACATCCTTTGTTTGCCATACTTGAAACGTCTGCCCCAATACTAACAGCTCCTCGTGGAAGATGTGCACAAACCCACCCGCCCTCATACTCCCAAAGGTACCCATGCCTTATCAAGCCAAAGTCCAGCCAGGAACTTTATAGCAGCATCCCTTTCCCTCTCCATGCACCAAGGAGCAAGGCAAAGCACTGCATCTTCTATCTGGAGGCAATACCACCCTCTTCTCCCATTTTCACTGCCATTCCTAAGAGGCAGTGCTTCCCCCGCAAGGTTCCATGGTGGCCTGCCTACAGCAACTCTGTTCACATGAGTTTCAGCATCCTTGCAGTGGCTCCCCTGCCATGCTCTGGCTCTTCATTCACCCTCATCTCCTGCTCCCCGTGACAGGCATAGATTCTGAGTGATCTGGATACATTGCTTTGTTTAATAACATTACAGCTTCTGTGCTGGGGAAGACACAGCAGATACAGAAGGCAATTGTTGAACACAAAATAGTGACGGCAGAGATGACGGCAAGTTGGCATTTTTCTTTTCTAGCAATAAAACTTAAAACTGACTCAAGAAGAAATGGAAATCGTAGTTGGAACAATAATCCTCAAGAAAGCATTAAGATTATTAAATAATTGCCCTCACAGATGACTTCAGGCCAAGATGGCTTTATGGGTGAAGTTTAGACTTTCACAAAACTAATCAGTTCCCATAAGAACTGCTCCAGGATTTGGAGAAACATGGAAAAGTCTATGAACGGGATCACACTCCACAGTCTCCAGAGTAAAACATGGGTTACTTGCATTTTGGCAAAGAGCCAAATGTTATAAATGACATCCTAGAAGGCCAAATTCTGTCCATCTCATTGAACAAGGACTTACACCGGGAATTAAGAACTATTTATAGCTCATCCCACCACTCAGGCCAATGATGACCCATGATCATCTCACCAGAAATGGAAAGACTCACTTGATTAATAGAGTCTCAATTCCTCTGAGACATCTAAGAGCCCAGCCCAAGCCCAGACCCAGGAGGGCACCCAGGCCTGGAGAGAGAACACTATCACACCAGCCCTCCAGAGGGAAGCAGAGACTCCTTCAAGCTCTGGAAACACAGGCCCAGACAGCTGCCCAAAGTTGGGCAGGCTTCACCGCATACCCAAATCATGAAGCTAGGTAACACCTTTACAGATTCTTTACATTTAAAAATCATCAAAACTTAACAGTAAATAATAAACTCAAATAATATTAATCTAATATGTAAAGGTCTTGTACCATTATTAGGCAAACAACATACATAAGCTAATAAGAAAAAGAACAAATCCCTTAAGAAATCAGCAAAGGATATAACACAATTTCCAAAAGAAAACAAGTGGCTAGCACACATGAGGAAAACACTTTGTGAACAGACATTCTTCAGACCATTATTTATAATTATAAAATAGTTGAAAGCAAGATAGTGCCTGAAGAAATTATGGTGCATACATTAATGGGACTATTCTGCAAACATTCCCAATTATACTTGTCACATATCTGTGATAACGTGACAGCCAGCATTCATGGGGTGACCTCATTTGATAAAAGGGTGCAAAGCTCAACACACACTGTGAGATGACTGTGGTGTAAATACAAAGACCAAACCGTGAAAAGGAGTCCATCAATTAACTGATGCTTACCTTCAGTTTTGGGCTGATTTTTAAAGTATGCTATAAGCATATGCTCCTGTTATAACAGAATGGAGGGATTATGAGAGATGATGTAGGTGTGTCCTGGGCCTCCCCGGCCCACTGGGCCCTACAGATGCCTTCCCAGGCACTGCTGTCAGGGCTTCCCTCAGAGGGAGTCCTGTATTGACCTCACCACTAAGATCTGGAGCAGGGGATCCTTAGATATGGGTAGGGGTTATCTCACCTTAGGTCTGAATACGGGGTTGTCTTAGACTGTTTTGTGATGTTGTAATAGAACACCCAAGACTGGGAAGTTTATACTGAACGGAAATTTATTTCTCACAGTTCTAGAGGCTGTGAAGTCCAAGAGCAAGGTGCCAGAGCAAGTCCAAGAGCAAGGGAAAGTCCAAAGCAAGTCCAGGAGCATCTGGCAAGGACCTTCTTGCTGTGTCATCATATGGCAGAAGGCAAGAAAGAGAGCAAGAGGGGGCCGAACTCACCCTTTTATAACAGCGCCAATCCCACCCATGAGGTGGGGACCTTATGACCTAATCACTCTTCATACTGTTACAATGGCAATGAAATTTCAACATGAGTTTTGGAGGAGAGAAGCATTCAAACCACAGCAAGCGTGCTCCTACCTCCTCTCTCAGGGCATCTGCAGAAAGAGCTGCAACTGCACGTCCTTCCTCCGTCCATCCTCCGTCCCTTCCCGATGTCTGTGCATTTCCTGTGACCCAGGAGGTCTGGTGTAGGGGGTGCTCCTGCCTTAGGTCTGAGGCCCTGTCTGAAGAGGGGTAGGTGAGGAGGCCACCTGATTGTCTGGGCCAAGACAGTCACAGGATGAATCATTCATCATCAAGGAGGCTGAGGGTTGAGTCTCCAGGTCCAGGGAACTCCCCACAAAGTGCGAACCCTGCCCAGCTCCACACAGCCTCTGCTGGGGGACCCTGCTCTGGCACAGAGCCTGGGAACAGGTCTTGAGCTCAGCCAGAGTCTGCCTCCCTGTCATTTAGGAATTAAACCTAGCGGCAGGATGCTGGAGCCCAGCCCCCATCTGACCTTACAGGGCCAAGCCTGGGGCCCTGGGTTCCCCTCAAGGCGCAGCAGGACTGGAGCCCCAGGCAGTGCAGGAGTGGCCAAAGCTGGGGCTTCCTCCAGAGCCACCAAGCATCACGGCATCAGGAAGGGTAGGACCCTGGCCTCAGAAATTGGCACCAAAGCCCCAGAAGCTACCCTGGACACCATGGAGAGAGGCCTGGAGGGGAAGCACCAGGCACTGCCCCCCCCTTCTGATCCCACATGAGGTGGCTGCCAAGCCCAGAGAGCAGCTCTGATGTCCCCCAGCCCTGCAGCCCAGGGACACCTGTACTGTGCCCCTGTGGGACCCCTGGCCAGTCTGTGCAAAGAAGTCACCACCCTATACTCAGAGACAGTGGGGGTCCTCTTCCCACATCCTCAGAGCATGGCCCGGCTGCTGCAGGGATGGTCTCCTGGAGGCCCCCCAGTGCTCTATTGTCAGGGCTCCCTCCACCCCACTGCACCAAGAGAGAGCCAGACCCCAGCAAGGCTTCCAGTGGCTTCAGGTCACACCCCTAGGCTGACCCCAGCCCCATCAACACCTGCCTGAGAAAGCTCAATGCACCAGAACTGACCGTTTGCTCCAACTCTCGACCTCCCATTCTCAGAGCATCTGCTGTAAAGGCTGCAACTGCACATCCTTCCTCTGTCCCTTCCTGATGTCTGTGTGTCTCCTGTGGCCAGGAAGGTCTTTCTCGGGACCTGAGAGCCACTCCCTGAAGTGTCCCCATTGGGAAGGATGGGGCCTGTGTCTCCAGGCTCTGGGAGGACAGAATCCTGACCTCAACAGTGGCCAGCACGGACACAGCGGGCCCCATCCCAGGGACGCTGACCAGCACTGGGCAAATTTTCCCTTCCCCGACGACTGAGCCCCGAGCACCCTCCCTGCTCCCTCTACCCCCTCCCTTTTCAAGGCTGTGGCCTCTGCACAGACGACAATGGAGCTTGGCTCATTCCCCTAGAGTCGGTAGAGAGTTAATGACAAAACTGTTTCCTCCGCCTGAACTCAGGTCTGCCTGTGTTTACCTGATCACAGCTGGTGGACAGTTTGGACAAACTTGCACACTCAGAGACACAGACCCTTCTAGAAATCATTATCTCCCCGCCCCTGGGACCCCTCTCCCGTGGAAGTCTGCTAGGCACTGGCCTGGGCCCTCCTGCTGTCCTAGGAGGCTGCTGACCTCCTGCCTGGCTCCTGTCCCCAGGTCCAGAGTCAGAGCAGACTCCAGGGATGCTGAAGGCTAGGAAGCCGCCCCTCCAGGCCAGGGTCTAGTGCAGGTGCCCAGGACAAGAAAGATTGTGAATGCAGGAATGACTGGGCCACACCCCTCCCATGCATGCCCCCTCCTGCCCTGCACCCCACAGCCCAGCCCCCCATGCTAGATGCCCCCCACAGCAGAGGTGCTGTTCTGTGATCCCCTGGGAAAGAAGCCCTCAACCTCCACCCTGTCCCATGGCCCAAGGAAGACAAGACACAGGCCCTCTCCTCACAGTCTCCCCACCTGGCTCCTGTTGGGATCTTCAAGGTGTGAACAGGGAGGATGGTTGTCTGCGTGGCCCCTAGGAGCCCAGATCTTTGCTCCACAGACCCCAACCCAAGCACCCCCTTCTGCAGGGCCCAGCTCATCTGCCTCTTCCTCCCTTTGCTCTCCTCTCTTCGCCTCTGTGGGAAATCCGGGACTCAGCAGTAACCCTCAGGAAGCAGGGCCGAGGTGCCGTTTAATAGGAGGCTTCGTCACAATGAAACTCTTAGAAAGACTTGACTACGATGATGACCGTGGCGTGGCTGTGAACACTGTCAGCTCCCACAGTTGCCGCAGCAAAAAATGTCCATAGACAGGGTGGGGGCCCGGGGTCATCTGCTGTCCTGCTCAGCCCACAGCATGCATGGAAAATCTGAGGTGCCACACCTGACACCCAGACCAGAACATGCCTCCCTCCAGGGTGACCTGCCATGTCCTGCATTGCTGGAGGGACAGGGGCAGCCTGTGAGGATCTGGGGCCAGGAGATGAATCCCATTAACCCAGAGGAAAACAAGCAGGACCTGAGCACCCTCCCCATTGAAGCTGACCTGCGCAGAGGGGCCTGGGCCCACCCCACACACTGGGGCGGAATGTGTGCAGGCCCCAGTCTCTGTGGGTGTTCTGCTAGCTGGGGCTTCCAGTGCTCACCCCACAACCAAAGTGAGCCACAGCCTCCAGAGCCCCCAAAGGAGATCCTGCCCACAAGCCCAGCCCCCACCCAGGAGGCCCCAGAGCTCAGGGCACCTGGGCAGATTCTGAACAGCCCCGAGTCACAGTGGGTATAACTGGAACAACCACTGTGAGAAAAGCTTTGTCCAAAACCGTCTCCTGGCCACTGCCGGAGGCCATGCCAGAGAGGGGAACAGCCGCCCCGAACCTAGGTCCTGCTCAGCTCACATGACCCCCAGCAGCCAGAGCACAACGGAGTCCCCATTGAATGGTGAGGATGGGGACCAGGGCTCCAGGGGGTCATGGAAGGGGCTGGACCCCATCCTACTGCTATGGCGCCAGTGCCCCTGGCCAGAACTGACCCTACCACCGACAAGAGTCCCTCAGGGAAACGGGTCACTGGCACCTCCCAACATCAACCCCAGGCAGCACAGGCATAAACCCCACATCCAGAGCAGACTCCAGGAGCACATTCACCCCAATACCCTGGGGGACACCGACCCTGATGACTCCCCACTGGAATCCACCCCAGAGTCCACCAGGATCAGAAACCCCTCCCCGTCTCTGTCCCTCACTCAGGACCTGCTGCGGGGCGGGCCCTGAGAGCAGACTGGGGCTTAGGGAACACCACTGTGGCCCCAACCTCGACCAGGACACAGGCCCTTCCTTCCTGCCCTGTGGCGGCACAGACTTTGGGGTCTGCGCAGGGAGGAAGCACAGAAGCCCCAGGCTGAGGTGGTGGGGGTGGAAGACCCCCAGGAGGTGGCCCACTTCCCTTCCTCCCAGCTGGAACACACCATGTCCTTCCTAAAATAGGGGTGTCATCCGAGGCAGGTCCTCCATGGAGCTCCCTTCAGGCTCCTCCTGGTACTCACTAGGCCTCAGTCCCAGATATGGGAATGCAGCCACCACAGGCACACCAGGCAGCCCAGACCCAGCCAGCCTGCAGTCCCCAAGCCCACATTCTGGAGCAGAGCAGGCTGTGTCTGGGAGAGTCTGGGCTCCCCACTCCCCACCTGCACACAGCCACCCACCCCTGTCCAGGCCCTATGCAGGAGGGTCAGAGCCCCCCATAGGGTACAGACTTAGGGTCACACTCACGTGCCTCCCCTCCTGGGTGAAGGGGTCTCATGACCAGATCCCCGCAGCAGCGCTGGTCAAAGGTGGAGGCAGTGTCCCCAGGGCTACCCTGACCTGGCCCCTCAGGCTCCTCTAGCCCTGGCTGCCCTGCTATCCCTGGGAGGCCTGGACTCCACCAGACCACAGGTCCAGGGCACCACCCATAGGTGCCGCCCACACTCAGTTCACAGGAAGAAGATAAGCTCCAGACCCCCAAGACCAGGACTTGCCTTCCTGCCACCGCTTGTAGCTCCAGACCTCCATGTCTCCCCTGACCACTTACACATGGGCCAGGGAGCTATTCCACACAGATCAACCCCAAACCGGGACCGCCTGGCATGCAGGTCGCTGCCACTTCCCTCTCCATTTGCTCCCAGCACCTCTGTGCTCCTTCCCTCCTCCCTCCTTCAGGGGGACAGCCTGTGCAGCCCCTCCCTGCACCCCACACCCTGGGGACGCCCAACCCTGCCTCCAGCCCTTTCTACCCCGCTGCTCTTCCTGCCCATCCAGACAACCCTGGGGTCCCATCCCTGCAGCCCACACCCTGAGAAGACTGGACCCTGCCTTGGGCCCTTTCTGCCCTGCTGCTCTTGCCGCCCACCCAGACAATCCTGGGGTCCTGTCCCTGCAGTCACCACCCTGGTCTCCACCCAGACCCCTGTCTCTCCCTCCAGACACCCCTCCCAGGCCAACCCTGCACATGCAGGCCCTCCCCTCTTCTGCTGCCAGAGCCTCAGTTTCTCCCCCCTGTGCCTACCCACTGCCTCCTCCTGCCCACAACTTGAGCTCTTCCTCTCCTGGGGCCTCTGAGCCATGGCACTGACCGTGCACTCCCACCCACACACTGCCCTCACCTTCCTCCTGGACACTTTGGCTCCACTCCCCTCTTGGACATGGCCCTGGTATTTCCAGGACGAAGGCTCACCCAAGTCTTCCCCACACAGACCCTTGCCCTCACTCCCCATTTACAGGGAAATCTCCTGTGCACAGAAGCAGGGAGCTCAGCTCTTCCACAGGCAGAAGGCAATGAAAGAAATCGGCCTCCAGCGCCCTGATGCACATCCGCCTGTGTCTCTCACTGCCCACACCTGCAGGGAGGCTCGGCACTCCCTTTAAAGATGAGGGATCCAGGCAGCAACATCACGGGAGAATGCAGGGCTCCCAGACATCCCAACCCTCTTGCAGGCCTCTCCTGGGAAGAGACCTGCAGCCACCACCAAACAGCCATGGAGCCCGCTGCATAGTAACTGAGTCAGTGACTGACCTGGAGGGCAGGGGAGCAGTGAGCCGGAGCCCAGACCATAGGGACCGAGACCAGCCGCTGACATCCCGAGCCCCTCACTGGTGGCCCCAGAAAACTCATGGAAACAGGACGGACCCACATTCCCAGCTGGACCAGGGCGGAGACTGCTGAGCCCCGAGCACCAGCCCCAAGAAACACCAGGCAAAATCATCAGAGGAGGCTCCTGAGAAAGAGAGGAGGGGAGGTCTCCCTCACCAGCAAATGCTTCCCTTAACCAAACACAGGGTCCACGCAACTCCCCCAGGACAAAGGAGGAGCCCCCTGTACAGCACTGGGCTCAGAGTCCTCTCCAAGACACCCTGAGTTTCAGACAAAAACCCCCTGGAAATCACAGTATCAGCAGGAGAACTGGCCAGAGACAGCAAGGGGGGACTCCGTGACACCCATGGGGACAGGAGGATTTTGTGGGGGCTTGTGTCACTGTGAGAATATTGTAATAGTACTACTTTCTATGCCCACAGTGACACAGCCCCCAGTCCCAAAGCCCTGCTGTAAATGCTTCCACTTCTGGAGCTGAGGGGGAGCGTCTGGGAAGTAGGGCCTAGGGGTGTCCACCAATGCCAAAACACACCAGACTTCCCCCCAGACATCACCCCCACCAGCCAGCGAGCAGAGTAAACAGAAAATGAGAAGCAAGCTGGGGAAGCTGGCACAGGCCCCAAGGAAAGAGCTTTGGTGGGTGTGCAAGAGAAGATGCAGGCAGAGCCTGAGCAGGGCCTTTTACTGTTTCTGCTTTCCTGGGCAGAGAATTCCATAAACTGGTGTTCGAGATAAATGGCTGGGAGTGAGCCCAGGAGGACAGTGTGGGAAGGGCACAGGGAAGGAGGAGCAGCCTCTATCCCACACTGTCATCTTTCGAAAGTTTGCCCTGTGCCCACACTGCTGCATCATGGGATGCTTAACAGCTGATGTAGACACAGCTAAAGAGAGAATCAGTGAGAAGGATTTGCAGCACAGATCTGAATAAATTCTCCAGAATGTGGAGCCACACAGAAGCAAGCAAACAGAAAGTGCCTGATGCAAGGGCAAAGTACAGTGTGTACCTTCAGGCATTGCTGCTGGGCACAGACACTCTGAAAAGCCCTGGCAGGAACTCCCTGCAACAAAGCAGAGCCCTGCAGGCAATGCCAGCCCCAGAGCCCTCCCTGAGAACCTCATGGGCAAAGATGTGCAGAACATATGTTTGTCATAGCCCTAAACTGAGAATGAAGCAAACATCCATCTGAAGGAAAACAGGCAAATAAACGATGGCAGGTTCATGAAATGCAAACCCAGACAGCCACGAGGACAACAGTACAGGGTTACGGGCAACTCTGTGGTTGAGTTCATGACAATGCTGAGTAATTGGAGTAACAAAGGAAACTCCAAAAAATACTTTCAATATGATTTCTTCTAAATAAAATTTACACCCGGCAAAATGAACTATCTTCTTAAGGGATAAACTTTCCACTAGAAAAACTATAAGGAAAATCAAGAAAACGATGATCACATAAACACAGTTGTGGTTACTTCTACTGGGGAAGGAAGAGGGTGTGAACAGAGACACACAGGTTTGGCAAGTCTCCTAACAAGAACAGAACAAATACATTACAGTACCTTGAAAACAGCAGTTAAACTTCTAAATCGCAAGAAGAGGAAAATGTACACAGCTGTGTTTAGAAAATTCTCACTCCGGCACTGTTCATAATAGCAAAGACATTAACCCAGGTTGGATAAATAAACGATGACACAGGCAATTGCACAGTGATACAGACATACATTCAGTATATGAGACATCGATGATGTATCCCCAAAGAAATGACTTTAAAGAGAAAAGGCCTGATGTGTGGTAGCACTCATCTCCCTGGGCATCCCCGGACAGGCTGCAGGCTCACTGTGTGGCAGGGCAGGCCGGTACCTGCTGGCAGCTCCTGGGGCCAGATGTGGAGCAGGCACAGAGCCGTATCCCCCCGAGAACATATACCCCCAAGGATGGCACAGTCGGCACATTCCAGAGAGAAGCAACTGAGCCACACTCCCAGGCCAGAGCCCGAGAGGGACGCCCATGCACAGGGAAGCAGAGCCCAGCTCCTCCACAGCCAGCACCACCTGTGCAGGGGCTGCCATCTGGCAGGCACAGAGCGTGGGCTGGGAGGAGGGGCAGGGACACCAGGCAGGGTTGGCACCGACTGAAAATTACAGAAGTCTCATACATCTACCTCAGCCTTGCCTGACCTGGGCCACACCTGACCTGGACCTCACTTGGCCTGGACCTCACCTGGCCTAAGCCTCACCTGGCCTGGACCTCACCTCTGGGCTTCACCTGACCTCGGCCTCACCTGACTTGGACCTTGCCTGTCCCGAGCTCACATGATCTGGGCCTCACCTGACCTGGGTTTCACCTGACCTGGGCTTCACCTGACCTGGGCCTCATCTGACCTGGGCATCACTGGCCTGGATCTCACCTGGCCTGGGCTTCACCTGGCCTCGGGCCTCACCTGCACCTGCTCCAGGTGTTGCTGGAACCTCAGTAGCACTGAGGCTGCAAGGGCTCATCCAGGGTTGCAGAATGACTCTGGAACTCTCCCACATCTCACCTTTCTGGGTGGAGGCACCTGGTGGCCCAGGGAATATAAAAAGCCTGAGTGATGCCTGCGTGATTTGGGGGCAATTTATAAACCCAAAAGGACATGGCTATGGAATGGGTAGGGACAGTACAGACAGATATCAGCCTGAAATGGAGCCTCAGGACACAGGTGGGCACAGACACTGTCCACCTAAGCGAGGGGCAGACCCGAGTGTCCCCGCAGCAGACCTGAGAGCGCTGGGCCCACAGCCTCCCCTCGGTGCCCTGCTACCTCCTCAGGTCAGCCCTGGACATCCCGAGTTTCCCCGGACCTGGCAGTAGGTTTGGGGTGAGGTCTGTGTCACTGTGGTATTATGATTTTTGGACTGGTTATTATACCCACAGTGTCACAGAGTCCATCAAAAACCCATCCCTGGGAGCCTTCTGCCATAGCCCTCCCCACAGTGGACCACCACATGCCGCGTTAGGATTTTGATCGAGGCCACAGCACCATGGGTGTAGTGGCTACCACAGCAGTGCAACCTGTGTCCCAAACACACAGGGCAGCAGGCACAATGGACAAGCCCAAGAGTGACCACCCTGAGCTCCTGCCCGCCAGCCCCGGAGACCATGAAACAGATGGCCAGGATTATCCCATAGGTCAGCCAGACCTGAGTCCAACAGGTCTGCATCGCTGCTGCCCTCTAGTACCAGTCCAGATGGGGACAGGCACCCAGCAGTCCCGGAAGCCCCTCCCTCAAGGCTGAGCCACATGTGTGGACCCTGAGAACCCCCCAGGTCCGAGTAGGGGCAGGAGGGCGGGGCTGGTCCTGTGCACTGTCCCTGCCCCTGTGGTCCCTGGCCTGCCTGGCTCTGACACCTGAGCCTCTCCTGGGTCATTTCCAAGACAGAAGGCATTCCCGGGACAGCCGGAGCTGGGAGTCGCTCATCCTGCCTGGCCGTCCTGAGTCCTGCTCCTTTCCAAACCTCACCCGGGAAGCCAACAGAGGACTCACCTCTCACAGTCAGAGACAAAGAACCTTCCAGAAATCCCTGTCTCTCTCCCCAGTGGGCACCCTCTTCCAGGACAGTCCTCAGTGATATCACATCGGGAACCCACATCTGGATCAGGACGGCACCCAGAACACAAGATGGCCCATGGGGACAGCCCCACAGCCCAGCCCTTCCCAGACCCCTAAAAGGTGTCCCACCCCCTGCACCTACCCCAGGACTAAAAATCCAGGAGGCCTGACTCCTGCACATGCTCTGACCGGATGTCACCTCAGCCCCTCCTGGAGGGGACAGGAGCCCTGGAGGGTGAGTCAGACCCTCCTGCCCTCGACGGCAGGCGGGGAAGATTCAGACCGGTCTGAGATCCCCAGGATGCAGCACCACTGTCAATGGGGGCCCCAGACGCCTGGACCAGCACCTGCGTGGGAAATGCCTCTGGGCTCACTGAGGGGCTTTTTGTGAAGGCCCTCCTGCTATGTGACTATGGTGCTAACTACCACAGTGATGAACCCAGCAGCAAAAACTGACCGGACTCCCAGGGTTTATGCACACTTCTCGGCTCAGAGTTCTCCAGGATAAGAAGAGCCAGGCCCAAGGATTTCTGCCCAGACCCTCGGCCTCTAGGGACACCTTGGCCATGAAAGCCCATGGGCTGGTGCCCCACACTTCATCTGCCTTCAAACAAGGGCTTCAGAGGGCTCTGAGGTGACCTCACTCATGACCACAGGTGCCTGCCAGCTGCACCGAACCCTGTCCCAACAGCTGCCACAGTTCCAACAGCCAATTCCTAGGGCCGGGAATTGCTGTAGACACCAGCCTTGTTCCAGCACCTCCTGCCAATTGCCTGGATTCCCATCCTGGCTGGAATCAAGAGGGCAGCATCCGCCAGGCTCCCAATAGGCAGGACTCCCACACACCCTCCTCTGAGAGGCCACTATGTTTCGTAGGGCCAGGCCCTGGACAGTCTCCCTCACCTGCCACTAGAGAAACACCTGCCTTTGACGTCCCCATATGGCAAAGACCACTCATGGAGCCCCCAGCCCCAGGTACAGCTGTAGAGACAGTCCCCGAGGGATCTAAGAAGGAGCCATGCCCAGTTCTGCCCAGACCCTCGGCCAGGCTGACAGGAGCGGACGCTGGAGCTGGGCCTGCACTGGGCCACATAGGAGCTCACCAGTGAGGGCAGGAGAGCACATGTCGGGGAGCACCCAGCCTCCTGCTGACTGGAGGCCCGTCCCAGAGCCCAGGAGGCTGCAGAGGCCTCTCCAGGGGGACACTGTGCATGTCTGGTCCCTGAGCAGCCCCCCACGTCCCCAGTCCTGGGGGCCCCTGGCACAGCTGTCTGGACCCTCCTTGCTCCCTGGGAAGCTCCTCCTGACAGCCCCGCCTCCAGTTCCAGGTGTGGTTATTGTCAGGGGGTGTCAGACTGTGGTGGATATAGTGTCTACGATTACCACAGTGGGGCCACCCATAGCAGCAACCAGGCCAAGTAGATGAGCCACTGCCATGCAGCCCCAGGCCTCCAGCTCACCTGCTTCTCCTGGTGCTCTCAAGGTCACTGTTGTCTGCACTCTGCCCTCTGTGGGGAGGGTTCCCTCAGTGGGAGGTCTGTTCTCAGCTTCCCAGGGCCTCATGACTGCATGGAAGGTCAAGGGCTGGGCCTGCCAGGGGCACGGCACCCTCACATGCTACACCTAAGATAGGGTGGGCAGTCTGGTGGGGACAGGACATACTGCTGGGGTGTCTGTCACTGTGCCTAGTGGGGCACTGGCTCCCAAACAATTCGGTCCTTGCCAAAATCCCCACTGCCTCCCCTGCTAGGGGCTGGCCTGGTCCCCTGCTGTCCTAGGCAGCTGCTGACCTCCAGAATGGCTCCATCCCCAGTTCCAGGGCCAGAGCAGATCCCAGGCAGGCTGCTGTCTGGGAGGCCACCCCCTCCTTGCCAGGGTTCACTGCAGGTGACCAGGGCAGGAAATGGCCTGAACACAGGGATGACTGCACCATCCCCCAACAGAATCTGCCCCCTCCTGCTCTGCACCCCGCACCCCCCAGGCCAGTCCACGAAAACCAGGCCCCACATCAGAGTCACTGCCTGGCCCTGCCCTGGGGTGGACCCCTCAGCCCCCACCCTGTCTAGAGGACTGGGGAGGACAGGACACAAGCCCTCTCCTTATGGTTCCCCACCTGGCTCCGGCTGGGACCCTCGGGGTGTGGACAGAAAAGACGCCTGCCTGATTGGCCCCCAGGAACCCAGAACTTCTCTCCAGGGACCCCAGCCCGAGCACCGCCTTACCCAGGACCCAACCCTGCCCCTCCTCCCCTCTGCTCTCCTCTCATCACCCCATGGGAATCCAGAATCCAGATTCCTCACGAATGGCTTAGTGCCATCCACTTGGTAATGAGTGAGTTCTCACATAGTTAGATCACTCAGGATCTGATTTTTTAAGAGAGACTTGGATCTCCCCCTTTCCTTCTTCCCCCTGCTCACCATGTGACACTCCTTCTTCCCCTGTGCCTTTTACCATAAATATAAGGTTTTTGAAGCCCTCACCAGAAGCAGATGGCAGAACCACACTTCCTGTACAGCCTTCAAAACCGTCAGCCAAATTAGATTTTTTATAAATTACTCATCCCCAGGAATACTTTTATAGCAATTAAGAAATTTCTTTTTTTATTTTATGAATGTTTCATTGCCACTTAAAAAAGAATGAGTTGTTATGTTCAGACATACACACACATATTTCTACCTTATCAATTACGATATTTAGGTATTTTTTAGTCTTGCTTAATTTTGGTCCTCTTGATGTTTAATGAACTAAAACACATGAATTAAATAATTAAGATGCTGTGTTTTCTATATTTTTTCTTGTTTCCCCTATAGCTCTTCTCTGTGAATGCTGATGCTCTGTTACCTGGTGCACAGTTATTCATAACTTTTTTTTTGAGACAGACTCTTGCTCTGTCACCCTGGCTGGAGTGCAGCGGCACAATTTCGGCTCACCACAGCCTCTGCCTCCCAGGTTCAAGTGATTCTCATACCTCAGCCTCTCTACATATAGATAGTTATGTATCTATCCTATTATCAAGGTTTACAACTCCAACATTTAATTTTCAAATCAAAATCCCTATATTAGTCTTGGCCTCCTATAGGTAATTAGATTCAATGCTTACTGCCATTTTTGGTTGTTTTTCTCATTAATCTCCTAGTTATCTGAGTTTATCTTCTAACAGTATTCAGAAGTAATCACTATGCTAACTTTTGACACTGGTCTTGATTGCTGTTTTTGAAATTTTGAAATGGAATGTACAACCTCTGCCTTGAGTCTTTCATTCAACATTGTTTGTGAGATTCATATAGGTAATACATGTCAGTGGTTAATTGATTTTCATTACTGAAAATCAGTAATATGTTTAGATAATTAGTAATATGTTTAGATATTTTTCTAGTCTTTATTCTGTTCAGTTGTTCTGCCTATATCTTTATATTAATATTAAACTACTGTAGCTGTAGAGCAGGGTGTCCAATCTTTTGGCTTCCCTGGGCTACATTGAAAGAACAATTGACTTGGGCCACACATAAAATACACTAACACTAAAAATAGCTGATGAGCTAAAAAATAATAATAATAAAAATCACAAAGGAAGTTTGCAAATTTCTGTCGGGCTGCTTTCTATAAGAAAGAAAGTACTGAATTTTAAAGGAGATGATGAGGGTGAAACATCAGAATGAAATTACTGACCTCATAAGTAAAGACACCAGACAGCCTCTCTCTCTCTCTATTTCTCTCTCTCTCTCTCTCACACACATGCACACACACACACATGCCCTACAATGAAATGATCATATGAAAAAGTAACAATATGATGGCTGCTCTGAGCCAAAAGTGGAAGCCTCAAAATAAAACCTATCTTGTCAGCATCTTGATCTTGGAGTTCACAGCACTGATAAATGAAATAAAATTAATGTTGCATGAGTCACCAAATATGATAGTTTGTAATGGCATCTTAAACTGACAAAAGAAAATTTGGGGTTAGGAAGTGGAAATCTGATGTTACAATTATTTGAAAATTGTGAAAGTAGCTTGGAATTGGGTTATGTGTAAAAGGATGGGTACCTTTGACATATATGAAGAAATTTGTATGTTGAGGGTCATGCTGATAGACAGAAATGAGTAGAGTGGTTTTGGAAAATGGAGCAATAGTCATCCTTATCATAAAGTTTTTAAAAAAATCTTGGCTGGACAGTGATACAATATTTAGTGAAAGAGAAGTTGCGAGTAGTGAGAACTTGTGAGTAGCTGAGAATAGTTCTAAGTAAAGTGTTGAAGATATTTTGCTTGGTTCCTCCTGAGTGCTTATAACAAGTGAGGTAGATAAATTAAAATCAGAAAAAAATATAAATGAAAAAGAATAAAAAACCTGAGCACTTAGAAAATTCTCAACCTATCCATATTGCCAAAATCAGAAACTGTATTCTACAAAGAACACTGAGTATATGACTGAAATATCACTCAGTAAGAAGCCTAAGATACTCTATGAAAAGAAATATTTCAGGTTTTAAAGAATGAGAATTGACCTGAGACAAATCTGATGAAAACTGTTAGATTTTTCAGATTTAATGGCCTGGAATAATAGAGCTACTTGGCAGCAAATGTACATGATACTTCTGGAAGGGAGAAAAAATAAGCTTTAAATTTATTTAGAAACTATCAGACCACTGCCTTTATTTCAACAGACCAGAAAGCCTGTTTCTAAAATCTTGAGGAAGAAACCACCCAACAGAGGCTTGGGCTTGGGAGCAACCAGCCAGCCCTGTGTGTAGGGCTGCATGAGGCCTTTGACATGGGAGCTGGGCCTAGCAGTGCTTCAGGAGCGGTGCCTCTGCCTGCAGCCTTGGAGCTGACTCTGCCACCCAAATAAGCTGAGAAGGAAAAAGATTGTTTCAGAGATGATTGCAGCGGAGCCTTAAAGCATATGGCAATTTGTTTTCCTATGCATTGTATTTGCTGGAGACATACCACCCATTTTACCCCCTACTTTTTTTCTTTGGCAATGAAGCTGTCTATTCTATGCCTAACTCAACAGGACACAGCCGAGACTGTATCCAGTTTGACAAGATTCAGCACGAAAGGTTCCTATTACCTGAGCCAGATGCATCACTGATATGCGGCCACCAGTTCCTTAGGTTCATATCACTTTAAGGGACCAAATACAAATGTCAGTAGCGTATGTCATTCTTAAGCTGCAGATATGGTGTCAAAGAAGAATGTGGAGATAAGAGAGCAGGAGGAATTATGAAAATCCAGACAGCATCTTCTCTTCTAGAGTGGAAGGTACACTAGTAATTTTATGAAACAATAACATAAATGAAATGTGTCATCATCATGGAGTGTCTCACAGTGGCAGTGCACAAATAAATTTCTAAAAATTCCATAAGGTAGGTGTGATGGATGCGGCTTATTTCCACCCAGGGAGCCCATAAATACCCAGATAGGTAAAAAATCCAACACCTGGAAAGAAAAACACCTCATCTTGACATCACAAACACATCTCAGTAAGTCCAAGGAGTAATGTGGAAATGAAATGGATAATTCACAGACACATTTATTGTGAAATTTTTAGCACATGCTTGAACATCAAAACAGAATTGTCCACAATTTTAGGAAAACCACCCCATGACCACGAATCACTACACTCATAGAAACACCACTGAGTCAACAGAGTTCTAACTGTGAGCAGGTCACTACTGAGGCCTCAGGAGAATCAAGGCTCTAGGGTACATTTTACAGAACCCAGAATTGAGCCACACAATCTATAGCCAAATGATCTTTGACAAACTTAACAAAAACATACACCAGAAAAAGGACACCCCATTCAATAAATGGTGCTGGGGAAATTGGAAATGAACATGCAGAAGAACAAAACTAGACCCCTACCCTCAACACATACATACTCAACACAAAATGAATTAAAGACTTAGATATGAGACCTCAAACTATAAATGTACTCAAAGAAAATACGAGGACAACTCTTCTGGGCACTGGGCGAGGTGAAGAATTTATGACTAACACCACAAAACACACCCAAGAAAAAAATAGACAAGTGAGAATTAAACTATAGAGGTATTTCACAGCAACAGACTGAACAGGCAAGTTGCAGAATGACAGAAAATTTTCGCACACCTTGCCTGTGACAAGGAACTAACATGAAGAATTTACAAGGAATTAAACTATACAACAACAGGAAGAAGAACCAAATAACCCTATTAAAATGAGCAAAGGACGTGAGTAGACATTTCCAAAGAACACATACAAATGGATAATAAATATATAAACAATGCTCAACATCACTAACCATCAGGGAAATGCAAATTAAAACTACAGTAAGATATTATCTTACAAAAGCCACAGTGACTATTATTAAAAACTCAAAAGTATCAGATGTTGGTGAGGATGGAAAGTAACAGGAACTCATCGACACTGTAGATGAGGATGTGGACTAGGACAACCTCTATGGAAAATGGTATGGAGTCTTCCCAAAACACTGGAAATAGAACTGCCATTTGATCCAGCAATCCGACTACGGGGTAACTACCCAAAGGAAAATAAATCATTACTTCAAAAAGATATCCATGCTTCTATGTTTACCACAAAACTATTCTTAATAACACACATGTCAACCTGAGTGTCCACCAACAGATGATTTTATAAAAGAACACAGCACATATGCACAATTCAATACTAGTCAACCACAATAAGAAATGAAACTGTGTCTTTTGCAGCAAGATGCCTAGAACTGGGGACAATATAATTAGTGAACTAACTCACAAACAGAAAGTCATATGCCACACGTTATTATTTGTAAGTGGGAGGTAACAATGTGTCCACAAGGATATGGAGAGAGAAATGATGGACACCGGAGACTTAGAAGGATGGGAGGTGGAAGGTGGGAGCATGAGGAGACATTACCTAGTGGGTACAATGTACATTATTTGGGTGATATTACACTAAAAGCCAAGACCACTATGGAATATATCCATGTGCAAAAGTTGCACTCATAGCCCTTAAATTTATCAAATAAATGTACACACAAAAAAGTTAAAAATATAAAATAATTAACAGTTGACCAATGATCTTAAAATTAAAATTTAGACCGGGCATAGTGTCTCACGCTTGTAATCCCAGCACTTTGGGAGGTCGAAGCAGATGGATCATGAGGTCAGGAGTTTGAGACCAGCCTGGCCAACATGGTGAAACCCCATCTACTAAAAATACAAAAATTAACCAGATGTGGTGGCAGGCACCTGTAATCCCAGCTACTCGGGAGGCTGAGGCAGGAGAATTGCTTGAACCCAGGAGGCAGAGTTTGCAATGAGCCAAGATCGTGCCACTGCACTCTAGTCTGGGTGACACAGCAAGACGCCATCTCAAATAAAATAAAATAAAATAATATAATATAATATAATATGTAAAAAATGATCAATAAATGAAATTACTATCAGTTGAAACTCATTAAATTTAAAGACGTTTTCTACTCAAGTAACTATAAGAACATGAATGTCAAGTTTCAGATGGGAAACTATTTTCAAATCACATAACCACCAATTTAATTAGAATAAGAACTCTCAAGACTCAACTGTGAAAAAGAAATAAGAAAGAAACAACCCATGGATAAAATAGGCAAAGGTTTGTGCAGACATTTCATCAAATGAGATGTGCAGATGACACATAAGCATATAAACAGGCTGTTAACAGGATTTTCCATTAAAGGAATTCAAATCAAGCCCACAATGAGACACCACTATACACTTTTTAGAATGGCTGAAATTAAGAAGAAATACAGGTAATACCAATGCTGATGAGCATACCAAGTTCCTAGTGTCTACGACATTGTTAATGGGAATGCAAAATGAAACAGCTACTCGGGAAAATAATTTTTAGTTTTTTCTGCAATCAAACATGCCCTTAACACATGACCTAAATATCCCACTCTTGAATTTTGCTTCAGAGAAATACAATCTTATTTTCACACAAAACCTCTATTCAAATATTCAAGATATTACATGTGTGTGTGTTAGAAATGAAAAATAACATAAATGTCTCAAAATTTGAGTAGGTGAAAAAACTAGGAAGCATCTATAAATTGAATCCATCAGCAATAAAAAATATCAAATGATCGATTCACAAACCATTACAGTTGAACTCCAGGCATTATGCTAAGTGAGAGAAACCAGTCTCAAAGATCAAAGGAACACATCTGTAAGCAGCACTGTCAACCCCAGGTGTCAGTGGTTTGGGCTGGGCTCTCTCTGTCTCTCTCCTGACCAGACCCAGATGTTGAGCTCTGCCACTTGCAGATGGAAAATTGTACTATTTTCAATCATGCACTGAGGTTTGAATTACTTCACAGACTGAACCAAACAAACATGGGCTCCATTGAAGAGTGTCTGGCATTTATTTCAACCACAAGAGAACTTTCCCCAGCTCTCCCTTGTCCTCGGTTCTCTCCTGCAAGCCAGCAGCCCTGCAGTGTAGCCTGCATCTCCCATGCATCCACCCGTCTCCTTCCAAGGGCTTTCCACCACACCATCCACTGTTTTTGAGAGCACTGGCAGGCTTTCAATTTGTCCACAATCTGCTGTTACTGAAGTTAGGATTTTTAGGACTAATTAAGGATCATATTTTATGACTGAATTCCATTGCCCCCTCTCTCCTGGGACAGAGCTCCTAAACAAGGTTCTGCAGGTGTAGACAAAGTTGAGCTGTTTTATTCCTCAGCCTAGGAGCTGAGCTCTCAGTGGAGGGTCGGGCAGGAGCTTCCCACCTTCTCAGCACTTCGGTTATTGTGGGGTGGAACCTCTGCCATAGGACAGAGCTAGAAACCAGAGACCCAGTGTTCCCAGTGGCACTGGACCCGGGACAGAGCCTCCATCCATGAGTGGGGCTCCATGGAAGAAGTGAATCTCTGGCTCTCAGTAGCTCTTGTTCAGCACTGAACCTCAGCATCATGTGCTGTGTGCAGGGTCAGAGGGCCAACGTACTGGGTCCTGGGGAAGAGTTTCCTCTGGTGGGAGTTGGTAGAAGGTGACCTGTCTTCTTGGCTGCATCTGTCCGCAGTGGAGTTTACATCATGCTGAGCTGGGATGTGGAAGGAAGGAAGAGCATCTTAGATCAAGTATGATGACTGGCCTTACTGAGTTTTCTAGATTTTCTTGAATAAATATTTCTTCACTTGCTTTATGTTGTTAGAGCCTTTCCAAACCCTGTAATTTTTCAAAATAATTTTCACTGGTCTCATGAGGGCCTGGATTCACTGAAACCCTCATGCTGTCAAAGAGAAATAGAATTTTTTTTCACTTTTTAGAGAACACCCATGCGTTATAAAATAATGGGTTGACTTTTCATCCAACACTTTACAGATACCATCAACTTTCCTCTTGCTTGTAAGGTTTTAACCAGAAGAATGCTGTCATCATCTTTTCTGTTCTTTTGGAAGGAATGCCCCCTCTGCTCACCTCCACTTGCCTGCGTATATTTCTATTTGTCTTTCCTTTTCAGCAGTTTTAATAAGATTTACCTAAATGTGTGTGGGGGGGATCAGTGGGTGTAATTCTGCTGTTCTCTGTTCTCTGAGATGCATGGATTCACGGTTTACTCTGTCTCCATTTTGGGGAACACAATTAGAAAAAATGTCAGTATGAGCCCAGAAACAAGCCTCCCTGAAGAGGGAACAGGACCAGCTGGGGGCACTCAGGACCCACTGAGCACAAAAGCCAGCCTCAGGGCAGGTGCAGAGGGAGGCTAAGGTCTGGTTTCCTGTCAGCCCTGTGGCTTCCTCTCCATGAAACAGTTTCCTCTGGGGCACTTCTCTGGATTCCTTATCCTGTTCTTCCTGAAGAAGAAACATTTGTGGTGACAAGAGAAAAATTTTCTCACATGCACCAAAGGCAGAGTCACCTACAATCACTCCTGTTTCTCAATGTGAATAAATTATCAATGCTTCTGAATTCAATCAGCTAAATCTATAAAAGGTGTGGTGTTTAACTCAACACTGCAGCCCAGCTCAACAGAACTCCAAGGGTCAGTGAGCAGCAGGCAGGATAAAGTGCATGCTGGGCACTGGGGCAGAGGGAGTTAGCATCCAGTGCAAAAGAAGAAAGGCCCCGTGGTGGTCACTGTCAGGACTCCAAACCCATAGTTCCAATTGTAGGTGACCCCATGCAAAAGAAGAGAGAGCCCACCAATTGTTAGTGTGGATGTCAGGTCTGATAGTGCCACACTCACACCTCAGGTGGTTATGAAAAGATTTACCAACTCTATTATTGTCTGCTGAGAGCAGCACAGGCCTCTCAAGAAATTCCAAACTGGAATTTCTTCAATGGAACAGGAAAGGAGGCTGGCTCAGGGCTTTATAATGATTTGGTGGTGGGGTTGGGGGTAGGGGCACGTTTCTACTCAGGAGAAGGAGCTTGTGTGATTTAAACCTCACACTGGCATCAGATAAGGGAGCTTCTACGATTTCTTACTAGATTTCCCATATGTGGGGGACAAGGAAGAAGAAGAATAAACCTTAATTCATCAGCAGTGAGCACCAAAATAGGACCTGACACTTTATTCTCCCTAGCAGTTTAAGAAAATGAGTGAAAAAGAGAGATAAGAGTCCACTATGTGTGAAAAGCAAACAGATCTAAAGACAATAAAAATTTTTATTATGGTAAGCACATAATAAAAAGAAAGAGAAGAAGGAATGAGACAGGCAGGGGTGCTCAATCAATGTCCTGGGTGGGGCCTTTTCATTATCCACAGTGATCAGTTTATTCTGAAGGTCTCAGGTCAGCTTCCTGCTTCAAAATATCACAGGCCCTTATAGGGTATATAAAAATTATTATAGGATATCCACAGTTTGTCATACTTTACTAAAGTAGTCTAATAATTAGATGAAGTTCTGAATTTAATATTCAGTTGTATTAAATATTTAAAAATACCACAATCTACAAATTAGGAAACTGAGACTATATTTTTATCAAGGGTTACAGCCATCCTATACACTGGAAAGCATAGATTTGGTAAAAATGAGAGACAGGCACTCCCAAGAAGAAGGGGTTGGGCAGAAGCTTTATGCTGAACTGTTTGGTTAAACAGACTTAATCAACAGGTTACAGGAGGTGCTATGGATGTTCATGGAGGTTGTCCTGACACACGCATACTGAACAAACACACATGAAGCTTATGAGCCCTGTTCACTCACCAGTGGTGACTTAGCATTTAAATCCATTACAGTCAGGCCCTATGTGCAAATAGCAGAAGCAGAGACACAAAGGCACTCAGGGTGCACATTCTGTAAACGGCCAGAGCCAGGCCATGGTCAGTGGCCTCTGATCAGGAAAAAGATCCTGATAGCAAATGTTCAATCAAAGCTGGGGTTATGGCTTGTGGAACAGGGGGTCAGTTCATCAGGGGATGGGCTGCAATTGTCTTCATAGTGCTTGTCTCAGTGCCAGTGCTTACTGAGCCACTAGAGAAAAGGAATAACCTATTGGCAGTTAAAACATAGTTTATCTTTTAAGTGTAGAAGTGAGTGGCAAAATCCTTGCCTGGCAAGGCCTTAGGTCTTGTTTATAATTTGACATCTTACTGCCACTCTTCTGTCAGTCTTAAGATCTCTATTTTAACATGAGTGTTGGTCACTGCTGTGACTAAACCACAAAGGGGAGTAGGTATAACGAGGCGTGTCTGATCTCTTGTTTAGTCATGGTTGGAAAAAGTTTTTAGATTTTTAGGGGGTTCCCTAGGCCAAGAGATGGACTATTTAATCAGTGGTGGGTTTTAGGGATTTATTTTTAGGTTACAGTTTATAAATATGAACCCAACTATTGACTTTCTGCAATTTCACTGCTGTGTTGTGGTTAAAAGTACCTGGTAAAATTCCTTCCAAAGTGGTTCAAGAGCAATATTCTACCCTGATAAATAAAATAAATAAAATATTTTAGCCTAATGACATCCAAACATTACTTCCTTCTGAGCCCCTAAAGGGCAGATTCTAATTCCATCTATAGTAATATCAGTCAAAATATTCACAAATGCATTCTTCTAAATGCCTAATATTTTTACCTAAATAAGGTATCACCAAAAACGTGATGGGTCAATTTATTGAGTTTTAGATAATAGAATATCTCCCCCTAAAAATTGGACAGGGCAATGGTGTACTTGTGGATACACTGCTTAAGTTCAAAAAATAAAATCAATGGCAGTTCATTGTCATTTGTTGCTAAAAGAATGTGAAAATAACATGAAGGAAAATTTTTAAAGGAAAAAAGCATTTATAGTTCAATTGCTCTAATGTATCTATTTTTGTTAATATGTCTGTTTCATGTGATTTAATGTTGAACTTGCTCCCATTTATAGCAAGTTTTCATAATTATCATTCTTAGAAAGCATAATATTTTATTGAACTAACATGCCATGAATTGTGAATTTTTATGTGGGGAGATGAACATTGTCCTAGACGAAGGGCCTTCTTTCCAAGAAGCTAAGAGCTGACTAGCAAAAGGGAATTTTCAGAAGGGATATTAGGAGAAAAATGAATGCCTCTACTACACAAGAATGACTTCTCACAGAATTTGTACTGTGGCATTCTGGGGTAAGGTTACTGAACACTCCAACACCTTCCTTCCTTCTACCACCAATTTTTTTGATGAACATTACAGTTATCCCATTTTTTGTTATAAAATAATATCTCAATAAAATCTCCATAAAGATTTGCCTTGATAATATTTTGCAAACCTGAATTAGGACTCATCATCTAATCTGAAACAGACTGTCCCAGAAAATACAGAATATAAGAATATGATGTATGTGCAACAATTTTCCTTTCAGATTTTTTGTCTTATAACAGTTTATTGGGAAAGAGATCATTATTCAGTTCAAAAGGTAGGAATGCATTTGTGAATTGGGGCCTGGACATTCCAGGTAGAACAATTATTTGCTCCTTTGATGTAAGACAGTATCAAGCTTTTAGTCAATCTTATTAGAACTCTGCCATATCTCTCACTTGTATAGCCGCTGAGGATCTTTCCTGTTTCCATACTCCTTTCCAGGGTATATGACTTTTAAGTTACCTGAGTTCTGATCAGCAAATGGACTCAGGAAGAACAGGTAGTCAAGGCAGGCAATATTTCCACCACAGTTTCAGAACTCCCTACTTTGTGGTACTAAGTTAATACATTTGTGCAGCCACTACCTTTTCAAAGGTTTCTTCTTACAACCTCAAATACTATGACTGGTTCACAACCTTTTCCATAGTGCTAAATTATTTGACCAAACACCGCATATATACCATATTTTTTCAAAGCCAAACTGTATCCCAAAGAGAGAGAAGGAGAGAGAAAGAATAGCAGTAAAAATACAGTGTTATTTCAGGTTGATATTTAAAAACAATTGTGCTGGTTAATGGTTTCCTCGGGGGAAATGACAATTGAAAGTCGGTATTTTCTACTTTCAAATACAAGTCATGGTGTTTATTCGCTGCCTTTACAACTGAATAGATGGAATTCGCTGAACAAACTTTGATTCTACCCTCAATTACAACTAATTCCCTCACAAAGCAAAATTTATTTCACAACTAAACATTATGTACATTCAAGATTACTAGAAAACTTAGGACATAAGGTGCAAGTGCGACAATATTAGGAGAAAAGAAAGAGTGTGTATCAGTTTAACAGGTTTTCACATGCAAATTCACCACCACAGGGTTCGCTGTCTTGGCAACATTGAAAATAATAATAATTAACGTTTTAAGACACCTATTTTGTGTCAGGCAATGTTCCAAGTCTTTTCTATGTATTATTTTATTTCCTACTTATGAAACCCAAAGAAATTGGGTTGGTATTATTGTATCTCTAATTTTTGAAGAGTGAAACAGGCAGAAAAGGTAACTTGCCTAGTTGGAGATGGCATCTGATCTCAGGCAGGCTAACAATGGAGCCCACAGTTTTTACTACTATTAGGGGAAAAGACCAACACTATCGAATGAAATAGATTGGATCAAATCTAAGTCACTGATTGTGTGAGCTTATGCAAATTATTTGACCTTTCTGCCTAGATTTGTTTAGACTATAAAATAGAACTAATGATAATACTTTTGTCAGACAGTGGATTTGATGATTAAATGCGGTAAATCAAGGTAGGATCTTACACATAGTATTTATGGAATCTATTTCAGTTAATATTATTAATGTCTTTCATTTGTAGGGCTCTTCAGCATTTCCCAAACACTTTTATATAGTTGTTCAGTTCATCCTCACAAATTCTGTCATCACACAGTTAAGGTAGACATTCCCATACTCATTTCACTGATGAGATTCAAAGAAATCAAGTATACTGTCCAAGGTCACCCATAGTAAGTGAAGGAACCAGTTCTTCTGACTTCAAGTTCAGTAAGAATTCTGCTGTACCATACATCCTATTCTGGGAAATGTGGCTAAGTCCTGTGTAGCTAACTTCAGAACTACATGGCCATGCAAGCCAAAGAGCTGGATTTACCCCAGAAATGAATACTGTAGAGAAGAAATGAGTGAAGTAGAAGAACTAAGGGATTTCTTTCCAGTAGTTTTAAGGTAATAACTAGTCAAATTATACAAATATTTATGTAAAACGTATTTCACGTGCAAAATATGTCACTGAGTGAAAATGGCAGATCATGAAACAATAGTATTATATAATCTTACACAAACATGAAGTCATGGGATTATGGGTAATTAAGATTCGTTGTTTCCTCTTTTATGCTAATATCTTTATTTCCTAATTTTTCCATGACAAATATGCATTTTTTGTTCAATTTACAAACAACATGGAGTTAACAAAAAATTAGTGTTTACAAATGGATGCATAATTTAAAGCAATGCTTTTAGACACACCACTTACCCACACTTCCCCTCCACTTTGTGTGTAAGGGAAAGGATAATGCTACTGTCTTTGGTAAGCTTTTACCATGTCTTTACAGAGCTTCTCAAGTACTTTTCCATGTGGGGTCACTTTGTGGAGAGGAGTTAATTTGGCACCCTAGTCCTTCTATTTCACTCAGAACCAGCTTTTTCTGAAAAGGAAAGAGTGGTCCTTGATAGCAAACCCTGGCCTTGTGGTTTTCATTCTAGATGCTTAGAACAACAACAACAAAAACAAAAGACAGAGACAGAGAGAATGGAGGAACATGTCATACAATCAAATGAACCTTCCCAATCAAGAACTTTACCTGGGAACCTCCCATCTACACTTGTACACATCTCTCCCCCCAAGCTCCCTGCTTACTACTAATACAAGAACCAACTTTAATTAAAAGAGGGTTTGAATTGTTATGTTTTTGATACCTACCTTTTTTTTATTATACTTTGTTTTAGGGTACATGTGCACAACCTGCAGGTGTGTTCCATATGTATACATGTGCCATGTTGGTGTGCTGCACCCATTAACTTGTCATTTAGCATTAGGTATATCTCCTAATGCTATCCCTCCCCACTCCCCCCACCCCACAACAGGCCCCGGTGTGTGATGTTCCCCTTCCTGTGTCCATGTGTTCTCATTGTTCAATTCCCACCTATGAGTGAGAACATGCGGTGTTTGGTTTTTTTGTCCTTGCGATAGTTTGCTGAGAATGATGGTTTCCAGCTTCATCCATGTCTCTACAAAGGACATGAACTCATCATTTTTTATGGCTGCATAGTATTCCATGGTGTATATGTGCCACATGAACTCAAACAAATTTACAAGAAAAAAACTAACAACCCCATCAAAAAGTGGGCAAAGGATATGAACAGACACTTCTCAAAAGAAGACATTTATGCAGCCAAAAGAAACATGAAAACATGCTCATCATCACTGGCCATCAGAGAAATGCAAATCAAAGCCACAATGAGATACCATCTCACACCAGTTAGAATGGCGATCATTAAAAAGTCAGGAAACAACAGGTGCTGGAGAGGATGTGGAGAAATGGGAACACTTTTACACTGTTGGTGGGACTGTAAACTAGTTGAATCATTGTGGAAGTCAGTGTGGCGATTCCTCAGGGATCTAGAACTAGAATTACCATTTGACCCAGCCATCGCATTACTGGTTATATACTCAAAGGATTATAAATCATGCTGCTATAAAGACACATGCACATGTATGTTTACTGCAGCACTATTCACAATAGCAAAGACTTGGAACCAACCCAAATGGCCAATAATGATAGACTGGATTAAGAAAATGTGGCACATGTACACCATGGATACCTACGTTTTATTTATCTGTGTTTATTATAAGAACATATTTTAAACGTTTATCTCTTCCGAGTTTTTATTATGAGCAAACTGGGCACTCATCTCTTTTAAAGAACATAAGCCATTTATCTATCAAAAGTATATACTACTAGTCATCTTAATAAAAACAGAACCATTTTTAAAAGATAATAATTCAACTATGGCCAAAGAAGCAAAGTATCTATGGTTGGAATAAATAATTATTACTTTTTATTAAGTAGTTCAATTACTCCACATTTTACTTAAGTGTTGGAAACTCAAGATCTATCCAGGGACTCAAATTTGCTGCACATAGTAGACTTAGATTCAGCTGCATATAATAGAAACTCAAGCTACAGTAATTTATGCAACATAAAGGTTTAGTTTTCTTCTCTCATGCGTGCTTCTAAAGATAATCAGTCCACTGCAGTCCAGAGGTGGGCAGTGCCAAGATATCATCAGGGACCTAGGCTTCCCTGCCTTTTTGACAAATCTTTTGTAGTATGTGTTTCTTTCCTTAAGTTCACCTTATTACCTGAAGATGGCTGCTGAAGTGTCAGACAGCGGCAAAACTATATTCCGTTTATATATCGGAACATAAGCATGTCAAATGATAATCACCATAAACAGAAGAGACTGCAACATCTAATTTTTTAAACTGGGCACATTCTCAAATTGAATAAAATTGAGGTTGTATTAGTTAGGAAGATAATAAAATTGGGTGTTAAATATGTAGCTAACAAACTTTGCCACACATGTATTGGGTATAAAATTAAGAAAATGGACATAAGTGATAGAAGTTTAGAAGTAGCCCCTCTTCTCAAAAGCCTCACTCTAGGAGGTTGATACACCTCTTAAGCAAAACTTTATACCCAAATGAACTGCAAAAGAGACAGAGTTGGTGGATAGAAAAGTTTTTAAAAAACAAAAATGTTGATAAGCCAAAAAAAAAAAAAAAGACACTACAAAAACTCTTGCAAATGTGTATGGAAAAAAATAAATTTAAATTTATTTCCCCTATTCTCCACAGAACAAAAGGCCCACATACGGTGCTTGAAAAATAAATGCTTGGAATGGTGCTGGGAAAACTGGCTAGCCATATGTAGAAAGCTGAAACTGGATCCCTTCCTTACACCTTATACAAAAATCAATTCAAGATGGATTAAAGACTTAAACGTTAGACCTAAAACCATAAAAACCCTAGAAGAAAACCTAGGCATTACCACTCAGGACACAGGCATGGGCAAGGACTTCATGTCTAAAACACCAAAAGCAATGGCAACAAAAGACAAAATTGACAAATGGGATCTAATTAAACTAAAGAGCTTCTGCTCAGCAAAAGAAACTACCATCAGAGTGAACAGGCAACATACAAAATGGGAGAAAATTTTCACAATCTACTCATCTGACAAAGGGCTAATATCCAGAATCTACAATGAACTCAAACAAATTTACAAGAAAAAAACTAACAACCCCATCAAAAAGTGGGTGAAGGACATGAATAGACACTTCTCAAAAGAAGACATTTATGCAGCCAAAAAACACATGAAAAAATGCTCACCATCACTGGCCATCAGAGAAATGCAAATCAAAACCACAATGAGATACCATCTCATACCAGTTAGAATGGCAATCATTAAAAAGTCAGGAAACAACAGGTGCTGGAGAGGATATGGAGAAATAGGAACATTTTTACACTGTTGGTGGGACTGTAAACTAATTCAACCATTGTGGAAGTCAGTGTGGCGATTCCTCAGGGATCTAGAACTAGAAATACCATTTGACCCAGCCATCCCATTACCGGGTATATACCCAAAGGACTATAAATCATGCTACTATAAAGACACACACACACGTATGTTTATTGCGGCATTATTCACAATAGCAAAGACTTGGAACCAACCCAAATGTCCAACAATGATAGACTGGATTAAGAAAATGTGGCACATATACACCATGGAATACTATGCAGCCATAAAAAATGATGAGTTCATGTCCTTTGTAGGGACATGGATGAAATTGGAAATCATCATTCTCAGTAAACTATCGCAAGAACAAAAAACCAAACACCACATATTTTCACTCATAGGTGAGAACAATGAGAACAAATGGACACAGGAAGGGGAACATCACACTCGGGGGACTGTTGTGGGTTGGGGGAGCGGGGAGGGATAGCATTGGGAGATATACCTAATGCTAGATGACGAGTTAGTGGGTGCAGCGCACCAGCATGGCACATGTATACATATGTAACTAACCTGCACATTGTGCACATGTACCCTAAAACTTAAAGTACAGTAATAATAAATAAATAAATAAATAAATACGCCAAAAAAATAAAATAAAATAAATGCTTGGAACAAGAGATGAGAAAACTATTTTAATGTCTCCAAAGGCAAACTTATGTCATTGTTATTGCAAGAACAGAACAGAAGCAGAAAAAATATTCAAAAGGGCTTCAGTCAAGTCAAACAAAATATGAATTAGAGTATGGGGACTTTTCTCTCTTTGGGAGATTAAATTACCAAAACCCAGTTCTGGCTTTGATTTTTTGACTTCCTTCCCAAAAGTTTCCCATTGGCCTGTGTCCTCTGGAAAACAAGATCCGACCATTCAGATAAACATCCATCTTTCCTCTTCTCCCTCTATTCCGTAATCCCAACTTCAGTAGGAAGGTCATGTTCCTTCAGCAAGACTGTGGGTCCCTCTTCAATTGTACTGCCATAAAGGGAGCACTGGGATGGGGAGGTAGAAATGGAGAGATGATGGGGTGCTCTTACTGCAAGGAAAAAAACTCTCCTGGAAAATGGAGATGGAACTTGTTCTTTCAGAGATAGGAGGATATTATACAAAGTTAGTGGGAACTGAAATCCCCAAATCAGACTGAAAAAGGGGAAATCAAAAATAGAAAAGGTAACTGGGAGGGGAAAGGGAGAGAATATGATGCAATTTGGGGAGATGTTAAGAGGTTAACAAAGCACTCTCCTTCTTCCCTAGAAATTCCCACCTGACAGTTAATAACAAGGGAGTCACACCTGTGTGTGACAGAGGGCAGCCAATGGCCATTGTGGAGGAAAGAATCACCGAAAAAAAGGCTTTACTCTTGCTGCACGATAAAGTGGAAAAAAAAAATCCTTCCTGAGAAATTTCAACCTTGTCTCTGCTGACTTCCATTTTCTCTGCTCAGAGGTAAACAGCCGCTAGATAAGCCTTGTGGACAAGGTGGAAGAGCAAGTAAGTAGAAACTGACAGGGCAGAAAGCAGAAATGAAGAATCTCTCACACAGAGAGACTCTGCCCCTCTCCAAGGGAAGCCAGAGGCTTGAAGCCAGGCAGGGATTAGGTGGCATTTAAGAGGAATCTGTGTGTTAAGACTTGCCACAATTTAACTGCTCAAGTAAGGAGCTGTCATTTGTGGATAATGTAAGTATGCTTCAGGTGATACTATCAAACTTGATTTCCTGAAAGCAAAGGACCACTGCATAGCTCAGAATTCTATATTCCTAGGATCTCTACCTCAAAACCATTGCGTCTTCTTGGTCTGAGATTTACCCCAGCCTCTGAAATCTCCCTGAATACTAGAACAGAGAGGGAAGCCCAAGAATAACAGGGCATGCTATTTGACACAGTCAGGGCTCAAGAAACAGACTTTGAAAAATGTGAGGAAATAGCCATGGAAATAGGATGATGGAGCACCAAATGTATTGAATGATATCCACAATGAGGTGGATGGCTTTGCAAGGTTGAGTCATCTAGATGATTCATTCCCAGGACCTTCTTCTCAGGCCTCCTCTGAACTTTTCACTGAAATCTGAGGCATGTACACTACTCATGCTCCAGCTCCCTTTGAAGAGACATTATTACTCAAGGAAAGGCAGCTTCTGTGCTTCCAGAGCCAGCTTTCTGTGGTCACCCAGCAATGTTATCTCAAGAGAAAGACACAGAAATCCATGTCCTTTGATAGAAAATCCTCCTTTGCTCAAGGGCATGAGTTACTGAATAAGTCCAAGGAGGGTGACACTTTTCATTCTTGTTTGATGTCTGTCATTCTCAGAGCACCAGCCTGATCTGCCTCTTTCCATCTTTTCAGGGACCCAGACAGGGGACACATGATTATTGCTGATTTCATAATAGGCAACTGGAGGCTTTACCATGAAAGATGAATAAGTAAACAGTGCAACTTGGAGGTAGGGCTGGCCACCTACCACTTGGTGGCCAACGCAGGGACTGCTCACCTCCTGCTGCTGTTTCTGGAGCCTGTTGATCAGCAGCAGCTGCACAGCTACCACCGTTTTACCCGGTAGCTTCAGAAGGAGGACTATTTTGATTTACCCCAAGGTGAGGTTGAGTGGGATGCCTTCTGTGAGTGACTTTGGAGAAGGCTAAGGAAAGCCAGATGAGAAAGAGAGGATTAGAAGCTGTGAGAGGTTTAACCAGGCAGAAATCTCTCCCAGCAGGGGCCTGGATTGCCATCACATCACTGAAAGGAGGGCTCACAAAAGTGGTCTGCAGGCAGTGCTTACTCCAAGCCCGCTTTTTACACTGAAAATGATAGTTGAAGACAACATATTTGAAAGCACCTGCAAACAAAGTTCTTTCAAAAAACAGTTCTGATACCCTGCTAGTCCTCTCACACAAGGCATTCCCTTAAAAAAGAATATGCAAAAATGGGTTGGAGAATGCTATGTGCATTTTTCAAAATGAATTCCTTCTGCCTCCACTGAAAGCAATGTGTTCACTTGTTTGATAAAAAGCTACTTTATTCCAGAGGAATGAGGCAAGAATCAATGAGCTACTTGTCAGTGTTCTAAAGCTAAATTGCAAATTCAGAGTTTCTCTAATTCATGAGGTTCTCACAATAGTAGTATTGCATGAGTGAGAACAATAGTTGTGATCCTGTATTACATATGAGGAATCCAAGCACATAAAGGTTAGGTGACTTACCACTGTGGCACAGCAAACTGGATCTGGTGCTCATCCTCTGAGTCACAGTCCAGGGCTCTGTACTCTCTACTGTCTTCTGCTTACCTCCAACTGATGACAGCTTACCTTGCTATGGAGTTAAATGGGCAAAAACGAGGTAAACATCTTAAAAATACACACACGTTATCTATTTCTGAGAATATTTTCACAAATTTACAGAGATTTTGCATAAAATTATAAGTGCCCCCAGACAGAAGGATAAAGTACATTGATAAAAATGGACTATAATGTTCTCATTAAGAATCATGTTTCAAAGAACACGTAGTGCTATGGGGAAAGACACATGATATATTAAACAAAAGTATTAACAAAACTGCATGCACTACGATTCCAATTTTGAAAATAATTACATAGATATCTAATATACGAAATACAGAGAAACAGAGGAGGCTAGAAATGGTCTTAGAAATGGTATTGTGGATGATTTAAACTTCCTATACTTTCCTGTGTTATTATTTTTTTCTAAAATAAGCACATGTTGTTTTCATAATATTAAAATAAATTCTCTTTTGTAAATGGAAACCTTAGTGTAGACTAATTAGTTTAATTCTCTACTTTTTGTTGGCATGACATGAGCTTGAGAGAAAGTATAAATGTCTAAATCTGGAAAAACACAGCAAAAAAAAAAAAGGTAAAAAGTCACTGCAAACAATTTCAGAGACCATCTGTTAGACAAATGGGCCAAAGAGGGCTTCTTTATATAGCCCCCTAGGGTGTTTACTTCTTTACAGTAAGCTGAATCCTGTTAACTCAAATGCCATAGATAAGATAAATTCTGGGGCTGTAAAGACCCCAAGTTGCTGCTGTACTTTGGAGCTCTCTGACACAGAGTCCACACTGGGCTACTCAGCAACATCACCTAGACAAGCAAATCTCTCTCTTATCGCCCTCTCCCCTGAGCGCTCTCTAGTCCTCCTCCCCTTCTGGATAGAGGCCTGATGCCATAGCCTCTGAAAGGTAATGCATTGAGGGACTATCCCTGCATGAAAAGCTATCTAAGCAGCTCCCCCAGGAAAACTGCCACCTCAGGGTCAGCTCCTCAAGTTTTGGCTCAGAAAGTGAAAGACTTCCACACACATTGCTTCAGGGGAAAAAAAAAAATTAGCAATTTCTTCCTTAATAGAGTTGGAGTACTTGTAGTCCTGTGGCATAACCCTGGGGCTTTGCTGACCACAATTCCAGTATTTCATCCCCCCTCCCTTTGTCTGCTGTCAACTAGTGTTCCTTAGAAAATATTATTATTATCAATGTTAATAAAACTTCACGTTCTAATTAGCCTTAATATTTTCCATTACAGTTTTTTATGTTGTTGAAATCAACCTGAATGGTTTTTTTCTTGAAATATCTTAGATCGTATCATGGAATTTCAAGATTGAAAGAAATTTGCATCTGATGCTTAGATACCCTCTCCCACTTTCCCAACCTATATCTGACAAAAGCAACTGATAGAAAGTATTGTTCTTCAGCTCGTTCCATCATTGCATATATTTCTCTGTTAAAAAGTAAGTCTCCATGATGAATTAAAATGTGTCACCCTATAGAATTATAGTAATTCTGTACTTTAGAGATTAAATGGGACAAATTCAATTGCTTTATTAATTACCCTTCATTTGTTTCAAGAAAACTTTTTGTTCTCCAATTTAAATATCCCAATTCCTTCTACTGTTACTCATTTTCCGTACTTCTAAGTCCCCTCTAGTTGTTCTTCGCCAAATTCACTATAGTTTGACAATGTACTTCTTAAGTGAAACTAAAATGACAAATTCATGAAACAAGTGGGCAAATAGTTTAAAGTTAAGTGCCACTAAAACAGATATTGATCCAAAAATCTCAACATAAGTACAGAATCCTTGGGGCTGGCACATGTGCAGAATTGTAGAAAGAAGGGAAGAGATAGATAAGCCTTTGAAGCGTTTTGTAAATTCTTTGCCATAACTGACTTCTGTCTTTATATCCTTGGACTTCATAGAACCCCTTTCTCTTACATTTTCAGTCCTAAATCCAGTATCATCTATTTTGTGGGAAAACATAGCTATGTTAGTATAAAAACATATATCAAGGCTTCCAATTATATTTGATATTCTGATTCAGGCTTAAGGTCAACTGATTATTCAGATTAGACCCAGGCCTCATCATCTTTCCCTTTTTCCCTGAAGGCTGAACCAATTAAGATCTCAGTTAAAGAAACACTTTTTGAGATCTTCCCAAAACTTTCTCACTGTTATCCCTAGATGAGTCCACTTGGAAATGTTGGATGATCCAGAAGGGTCAAAAATAAACCTTGGCACATTTATTTAAAAATGAAGCAGGTGGAGACTGGAGGTCAGCAGTGAAGACTGAGCGTACACACAGCGTGCTCTTAGTCACCACTCCTCCAAGAGGAGCTGTCCAGGGTATGATAGCCATGGCTCAAAATGTGTCTGCTACATACTCTCCTAAAGAGTCAGGTGTAATCGGTGCTTCCTAAATCAGGAAAGACTGCAGTGCCCTTTACATCTGCTTGTAACCACAATATGGTTATTGGGTGGGCTCCAAATAACTGCTGTACTTGATAATGTTACCTTCCAACACTGACCCTTTTAAAGGCCTTCTAAGAAATTTTGGATGTGAGCGCCACTGTGTTCCTCTTTGCTGAACACTTTCTCAAATGGGAGACCAAGGAGGATGAGGTTGACTCATGTATTCCAGCAGACAGTAACCTAACTTTAGATGTCTACTCTCTACATGTTTCTATAATTCTCACACAACAGCTTCAGGTAAGGCACAGCTCAGATTTTTTTCATGTCTTTTCCACTTTCCTTTAACCCTGTGTTGCATTTGGAATCAATCACAATCTTGAAAGACACAGTTCCAAACACCATAATCGAATGTTGAAAATCAAAAGAACAAAATCCTTAAAGTCTAAAATTCCAAAAATCGCCATCCCAAAAGACTGAAATCCTGAAAATTTAATTCTGGAAAAAATAATTTTAAAAATTCTTTAAGATATATTTATTTACATTTTTAAAAGGTATTTATTTGAGTAACATATAAAAACACAAAAATAAAAACACAACAGAACACTTCAAAGATCACCTTACACAATAAAATAAGCGATAACACACATTTTTGCAAGCATAAACATTCAGGCCTTCTATCAACAGTCACACAAGTATAAGAGTTATAAACAGATGAACTATATTCATGAAGAAATAGGTCAAAAGGTGAAATATGTAAATGCATATCATTGTGGTTGGTAATTGTATGCACCCAGCTCTATAACTGTAGTCTTCTGAAATACCATGATAGACAACATAAGTATTTTCATGATACTGATTAATCACCACCACAACAGTCACCTAAAGAACCAAGATCTCAAGAAATAATGTTTTAAATGTTTCTGTAGTACTGTAAGGTGAATATAGTTAACTATAATTTATTGTGCATTTTTACAAAGCTAGAAGAGAGGATTTTGAATGTTCACAAGACAAAGAAGTGCTAAATGCATGAGGCGATGTGCTAATTACCTTGATTTGATCATCCCGTATTGTCTATGTGTATTGGACTAGTACTCTATATCTCATAAATATAATTATTACATGTCAACTAAAAATAAAAGGAAAAATATATTTTTAAAATGTTAACTCAAAAATCTTAGCTTAATAGTTGTAAAGAAAGAAGACTCTCCCATCAGAGTGAAGTGGGAGGGATCTTGCTTCAGGAAATGAAGCTGCATCAGCATAACAGGACTTTGACCTGAAGTCCTAGCTGCTGGCTGAAGCAGCCACTGAGGAGCCTTTGACAGCAAAATCTGTAAAAAACATTGCGTGATAGGCATACCTAATCGTTAAAGATAAAAACAATACATAGGTACACGAAGACATTCGTTGTATCTCATATTTTCTATAAATGTTCTAAGGAAAAGTACTTGTTGCCTAGAGCTCATTTAAGAAACAAGGTTCTCTTCAGTGCAGCATGTGCTGTTTTAGGGACCCTGCCAGTGTCCTTCCAATAGGACCAATGCTCTAAAATCATCACATAAATAAAGTGTGACAAGAGTTTCAGCTTCTTGGTTTCGTACTCCTCCCTCAGACATACTCTACTTTGTACATTTACATTTCCTCTTATCTATCTCAATTCTTCAAGCTTCCTCATTGAAAAATAAGCCCTGGAGAATGAATGGAATATGTAAATAAATGAAACATCCACCAGTAGATTATTGTTAAGAACTGTAGTATGTGTACATGATAGAATGCTTCCCCGTATTAAAGTAAATATTTTTAAAGATTATCCCAAAATATGGGTAAAGACTTAAGATAGGCTATTAAAGTGATAAAAATAGAATAAAAAGTAGAATTCAAAATTAGTCATAATATGATTCAAAGTAGAAAAAATAGTAATGCAGCAAAGTATTAGTAACAATTTGATGTAAATGAACTGTGCCATTAATAATTTTTCTATATTTTTCATATTTGTCCATTTTTTGTTTCATTTTCTAAATAGTTAAATTGTGCAAAATTTTCTCTACAGTATAAATGTCTACCAACAACTCAGAGAGAAAATGTCCTACAGTGGCATGTAACTTCAAATGATCCAGACCTTTACATAAGTGCTAAAAAGTGTTAATGGTGTCATTTCTGGGAAGGAGGTGCCCTAGAAGAGGGAAACAGACTGGATTCTCAGGCCTTTAAGGTTGTCTTCTTGAGACAGTCTCAGTGTCCTAACTATCAGCACCGTGTATGGAGCCGAGACCCAATTTGCATATTTCAACAAGCTTAATTTTCTCAACAGTTATGGCTTTCACTTTCCCCCATCTTCTTCCAGCCATCTCTATTTATACACCCAAGAAACTTTCAGATTTTCCTTAGTTTCCTCTCATAACACAAACGTGCCTGAGATGTTATCAGGCACATTTATCATTCACATGTCTCTTGAAGGCGTTCAGAAGAAATGAATGGTATCCTTTCTCCTGGAACTGCATCCCACCCTGGAAACCAAATGCTGTTTACATTACTCTTATAGGATTTTTCCAGACATATGATAAAAGAAAAAACTTCAGCTGAATTAAATTTAAAGGAGTTGAATTGAGCAATGAATGATTCACAAATCAGGCAGCCCCCAGAATCACAGCAGATTCACAGAGGCTCCAGCACAGCCATGTGGTGGTAAATTTATAGACAAACAAAAGGGAAATGACATACAGAAATCAGCAGTGAGTTACAGGAACAGCTGCATTGGTTACAGATTGGCATTTGCCTCATCAGTGTATTAATGATTGAAGTATGGCCACTGAGATTGGCTAAGACTTAGCTATTTGTTGCAGGTGCATACTCGTAAGTTAGGTTTTCAATTTTGTCTGCCTATTAAGCTAGGTTACAGTTCATCCACAAGGATTCAAATATGGAAGTACAAGTCCTTCTCAGGCCATATTTAGTTTGCTTTAACACCTATGAGCTTAATACCGACAAAGTGAACACTATTTCCTCATATCATACAAAACCAAAAGTGTTGAAACTAAATTGTCAGGATCTAATACTCAAATATCATAGTATGATATATTTTCACTTTCCCATGGTGTTCTTTCCCTCCTTTCATATATTCCTTCACTCTTATTTTTTAGCATATTCATTCATCACCCAAAACTTCATCTTATGTGCTAGGTGTTGGGCCAAGGCTTGGAGGAACAAAGTGATGCAAAATACTGATAGACTTTTTAAAATGCTTATTGAGTCAGAGGGGCATGAGATTCTGCATTTCTTTTTATAGATATATATACTTTAGGTTCTGGGATACATGTGCAGAACGTGCAGGTTTGTTACATAGGTATACACGTGCCATGGTGATTTGCTGCACCCATCAACCAATCATCTACATTAGGTATTTCTCCCAATGCTATCCCTCCCCTAGCCCCCCACCCCTGAAAAGCCCCCAGTGTGCAATGTTGCCCTCCATGTGTCCATGTGTTCTCATTGTTCAACTCCCACTGATGAGTGAGCCAACATGCGGTGTTTGGTTTTTTGTTCTTGTGTTAGTTTGCTGAGAATGATGGTTTCCAGCCTCATCTATGTCCCTGAAAAGGACATGAACTCATCCTTTTTTATGGCTGCATAGTATTCCATGGTGTATATGTGCCACATTTTCTGTATTCAGTCTATCATTGATGGGCATTTGGTTTAGTTCCAAGTCTTTGCTATTTTGAACAGTGCTGCAATAAACATACTTGTGCATGTGTCTTTATAGTAGAATGATGTATAATCCTTTGGGTGTATACCCAGTAATGGGATCACTGGGTCAAATGGTATTTCTAGTTCTAGATCCTTGAGGAATCACCACACTGTCTTCCACAATGGTGGAACTAATTTACACTCCCACCAACAGTGTAAAAGCATTCCTATTTCTCCACATCCTCTCCAGCATCTGTTGTTTTCTGACTTTTTAGTGATCACATATGCAGAAAGCTGAAACTGGATCCCTTCCTTACATCTTACACAAAAATTAACTCAAGATAGATTAAAAACTTAAGTGTAAGACCTAAGCCCATACAAACCCTAAAAGAAAACCTAGGCGATGCCATTCAGGACATTGGCATGGGCAAAGACTTCATGACTAAAACACCAAAAGCAATGGCAACAGAAGTCAAAATAGACAAATGGGATCTTATTAAACTAAAGAGCTTCTGCACAGCAAAAGAAACTATCATCAGAGTGAACAGGCAACCTACAGAATGGGAGAAAATTTTTGCAATCTATCCATCTGACAAAGGACTAATATCCAGAATCTACAAAAAACTTAAACAGATTTACAAGAAAAAAACAAACAACCCCATCAAAAAATGGGCAAAGGATGCGAATGGACACTTCTCAAAGAAGACATTTATGCAGCCAACAAACATGAAAAAAAAGCTCATCGTCACTGGTCATTAGAGAAATGCAAATCAAAACCACAATGAGCTATCATCTCACACCAGTCAGAATGGAGATTCTGCATTTCTAAAAGTCTCCAGCTGACACTGATGTTGCTGGTCAATAGACCATACCTCATGTAGCAATGATCTAGTGATGACCTAGTTAAAATGTCCAAGGAGACAAGTTCCGGAACAAAAAAGCCTCAGAAATATCTCTACCTCACCCACATAATGATGAGAAAAAGTCAGAATTGGGAGTGATTCTTAAAAATCAGTGTTTCTCTCTCAAAGTCAGGTTAAGGAGTAGACATTGCCTGATTTCTATTAAATCCTACTAAGATTCTGCCAGATAGTAGAAAACATTGTAATACAAATTGAAAAACATCTTTGTTCCTGTCATTTATTGATTTATATAACATGTTATTTGTTGAGAACCATGGTGCACTGGGATGTGTGGTACTAATCAGGGATACATGGTGACCTAAACTAGACCTGGAACACTCTTGAGGAGCTTACAATCTAGTATAAATCCTAAACACTGAATAAAATAGCCAGGTAAATAAATGCCAAATTAATCATTCAGTAAGTGTTATAAAGGAAAGGTACATTAAGGCCTAACATGATTCAATGGAGGTGGCGCAGGGAACTCTGTCTCACTCTTCATACCATAAAAGGCTTCTTGAGAAAGGAATGCTTGAGTTGAGACCCTAGAAAAATGAATAACATACTTTAAATAAAGGGAGATGAGGGTGAAAAGTGGATTTCAGGCACAGAGAATAGAATATGACATGATTTCATCTCCCTTTTTGAAACAGTAACTGTGGCCACGGTAGTGAAGAGTTTAGAGAAGGACAAGGGTAAATGTGAAACTAATTATGAGGCAAGTATATTTGTTTTTGTATTTTTGTGTATTTTTGCAAGACAGGATGAATTTTATTCTGTTTTTAAAATAAGTAAATTTATCTTTGTTCTTTGGAAGACCTCTAGTAAAGAATAAATGTCATGACATGTTAATCCTTAAAATTGTTATAGTTGCTCAAAAAAGAAACTCAAAAACTAAAATTGGATCCTATCAACCCAGATAAAACACTGAAAATTATGAAACTTTCACTCAAAATACAGTGATGACTGCAGAAAAGCAGCAACTATTTAATCATGCCCACCAACAATGTGCAGTGTCCTCCATGGGCCAAACACACTCCAGGTGGCGGCCATGGATGGAGGGGAAGAGGACTGGGGTTTTCTATGGGGTGATGGCAGTGTTTTGGAGCTCAAAAGAGGTGGTGGTTGCACAATGTGAATGTGCTGAATGAGGCAAGTATATTTGAAAAAGATGGAGGCAGTCAGTAGAGGTGGTGGTAGAAATTGAAGGAAATGCATATTATTACATATTTGGGAAGTAAAATGTATTTAAAGATTGGAAATGGAGGTGAACGGTTAGAAAGATGGTCAGATACCTTGCCATGGCGCCTCACCCTAATACTTCAGTGCATGCCAGCCTGACTTCCAGCATTCACCCCTGCATTTCCTTACCTGAGGGCTTTCTCTGATCACAGAAGCCGCTTTTGCTGTCCCTGCTGCAGGTTGGGCATGCTGAGGAATCAATGCCGCTAGGAGACAGTCCATAACTAATGACTATCAGAAACTGTTGTACGAATACCCTTTATCTCTCAGCATGTTTCTGAGATGAGTTATCTACACTGGATCTCAGAGTTATTCCAAGTTTAATCCACAGTTATCCATTCTGGTAACTGCTTCATAGTTCACTCTTTATAAGGGTCTTTGCCCCACTTCCCAGTTCTCCTACCAGAGATTATGATACCTACCAAATGAATCACCTGCAGGTGAATCTTAGTCTCTGGATCTGCTTTCAGGGTAGCACTGTAGTCAGATGAATGGGAATCCATTCTCTCAGAAATGCAAGAAGGGAATGTGGTTTGGGAAAGTTCATTAGATCAATTTTGGAGTTGAGTTTGAGGTGCCCCTGAAACATTCAAGTAAAACTATCATCCAGCAGTCAAATATTAATACCATGTAGCAGTTGTCATCTGGAACTCTGAGGATGCAATTTGTATTAACAATTTGATATACTCATTGGCAAATAAGTAATAACCAAAGCTTTGGAGAAGAAAATGACCTAGACAATAGTATAGCATTGAAAGATGTGAAGGCCTGGAACTCAGCCTCACAGAGCTTCAGAATTTAATGGCCAAATAAAGGAAAAGAAGCCCACAAATCAAATAGAGGAGTTGTAGCCAGAAATGTGGGAGTTTTCTGGGCAATCAGGAGGCAAAGTAGAATAGAGTTGACACTGAAGCCACAAAGGAAAAATGTGTTGGAACAGCAGTGCTGAATTCTGCTGAGAAGAGATACATCTTGAAAAAAAAATGTCCATAAGACTTAGACACATGAATGTTATTGGTGATTTCTGCAATGGCCATTGCAGGGTTATGATGGGGAAGGAACCATATTTAAATATATTGAATGTGAGGCAGGCATGAAGAAGAGATGAGGCTTTCTTGCTGTGTGTTAAGCATGCCAGCCATCCCCCTGCCTTGTGGCGCCTATACATACCATCTCCTCTGCCTGTAATGCTCTTTTGCTAGATATTTATATTTCTTGCCCCAACACTTCCTTCAAGTCTTTTCTCAAATATCACCTTCTCAGTGAGGCCTTCCCTGACTAGCTATTGAAAATTACACCCAGTGGGGATGGGGAGATATTGGTTAAAGGGTTCAAAGTCTCAGCTAAACAAGATCAATAAGATCTGGAGATGTACTGTATAGCATGGTGACTGTAATTAATAATAACATATTGTTCAGTTGTCTCTTTATATCTAGGGGAGACTAGTTCCAGCTCACCCTGGAGACAACAAAATCAGCAGATGCTCAACCGCCTCATATAAAATGGTGCAGTATTTGCATATAACTTACACACATCCTTCCATGTAGTTTAAATAATGTCTACATTTCTTATAGTAGCTAAGACAATGTAAATGCTACGTAAATAGTTGTTATACTATATATTTGAATTATTTTTTGTCATATTGTTATTTTTATTTTTTTCTAAATATTTTCCATCTGTGATTGATTGAATCTGCAGATGCAGAACCACAGATACTAAGGGCCAAAAGAATACTTGAAAATTGCTAAGAGAGTTGATCTTAAATGTTCTCACAACAATAAAATGGCAAGCATGTGAGGTGACAGATATGTTAATCAGTTTGATTTAATCATTTTGCAATGTACACATATATCAAAATATCACCTTGTATACCATAAATATATACAATGTTTTCAAATTAAACCTTAATTAAGCTGAGGGAAAAATGTACACCTGCCACCTGTCACCTCCAACACACACTTCCTATTGACCTGAACCTTCTAATTTTTCTCCATCTTTACTCATCGCCCCCCAAGCATGCCACATAGTTTATTTACCCCGTCTTCCCCCATTACAATATAACTTCCACAAGTCAGGAATTTTTATCCATTTTGTTCACTGCTGTATTCATGAGTATTTATAGTAGTGTCTGGAATGTTAACAATTATTATTGTTGAATTAACTAATCAATTATTAATATTTTAAAAATATAAATAAACATGTATATTACATTTTGCATTTAAATGCCATTAGAGCCCAACTATAAATATAAGTATAGATGGAAGGGGAAACCTTAAATGGTTTTATCCTTATATTCTTTTTGCCAATATGTTTTCCCACATTTCTCTACAATAAACTTCTACACCTTTATAATATTGAGAGTAAATACTTCTTAAGAAAAATTAACCTTAAGAGAGAGCTCAAAAAAATAAATAATTCACAAAAAACTGCTGTGAAGGCTATGCATGGAAAGGGCAGAAGGGAGATGGAGGGACTGCAGAGACCTGTGGGCTGAGTCTGAGCCTCAAGGCTTTTTCAGCATGAAACTCAGCAAAGACAGGTGTTAAAAAGGCCTGCCTCCCACCGCCCCTGCTGTTCACTAAGCTTAGGCAATCAAAGTGTACCAGTGTTTTTTCACTGCCCAGCATATACTGATTTAAGGACTCAACACTCTGACTTGAGAAAACCTAAAACATGAAGTTATCTCAAAGGTGGGTGAGATTCTAAGGAGGCTCAAATATATAGTCCTCAATTAATTCTCACCTCAACTTAGTTACAATCTGATACAACATATTAGGAGACAGGAACAGCACAGTGGTAAAAATCAAACCTCACCTCAAAAGATCGTAAATTATTGCTCTCAGATTAGTATTAACTGACACAATATGTGCAGTGAGTATCTTCTCTTCCTCCTCCCGAATTACAGAAGAGAACGTGAAAGACTAGGAGCCATACACATTACCCCAGGGAAAGCAGAGTGAAAGGGCAGTCTGGGTGTCCTTAACTGCACCACTCACAGAGGGGGCCTGTCCCACAACCAGCCAGGTTATTTCAACCTATTCTTACCTGACAAAAAGGATCTGGGGGCCTTGGCTCCACTGTAGGTGGGTAATTTTATTCCAACTGGTTTTGGGTGCTAGTTTTCTGCCTAGTGGTCAAATTCAGAAACCCAATCAGGACCTAGGTCTCCACCTGGAGCTCTTAGGTTAGCTAATCAATGTCTTCTTGGTCCTCAAGGAAGGGTTTATTGTTTTTGTTTGCTTGTTTGATTGGTTGTTTGCCATTGCATTAAAATTCTTTCTTACCCAGCAATTGATGAGTTCAAGGCTATCCTGTCACATTTCGTGATGTGGCCTGAGCCCTCCCAGAGTGTTACTGACTGGGACCAACTACTAACTAAAGTTTAGTGAAGAGAAGACAATGAGCTTGCTGGAACGTCACAGAGGCTTGGTTGCCATGGTAGTGATTGTCAGATGAGATCACAGAGAAGGGTGTAAGAGAAAAGAAAGAAAAACATGCAGGAAAAGCTGAAGCATAATATTATACTAAAATATATATATATTATATATATATATTTTATACATATTTATACTGTCTAAACTTACAGTGGAGTAATGTGTTGAAACTTGAGGGGAAAACTACTTTTTGAGAAAGACTGACTTTCCAGCATCTTCTTAGAGAGATGTGGTTTCATGGAAGAATGGTGTCTGAGCTACATTTTGTCTTATTCTAAAAGTAAAAGGAATGGGACTGATCTGGAAGCACATAGATTCCAGATCAATACTAATACCAGACTATTGTAATGCCAATTTATAAAAGGAAGCTAGGTATCCATTAAAATGACAGAAAATCAACAGGTATTTTTTGTAACAGATCATTGAGTTGGATGTGAAATGGTTTAAAGCTTTAACTATTCCAGGGGCTCCTGCAAAGTGTAAACTTAGTGTTTCCTTGAGTTAGCACTGAAAGGAGAGCAGGATTGAGGGACAAAAGAAGCAATCCAGTCATCTAGTAATATGACTCTGGATGATGTTTGCTCTAAATTGCTCCCAGCATCAGTATGTGGAAGGTGGACAGTGTGTGTGAACTTCAAAGCCCCCGCAGGGCTTCAGTTGGCTTGAATAAAATGTTACTGGTTATCCTGCCACCTTGTGGCTATGGGCCAACATGCCAGGGTGTGGAGGAGGAAGGGAGGAAATTAATGAATCACAGAGTTGCCTGACTGAAGAAGGAAAGCTCAGAAACACATCCTCTTCTCTCTTCCCTATAGATGTCAACTTGCCCATCACTTGATTAGCTAAAAGTGAATAGGGCTTAAAGTTCAGTCCTTGAGTGAGATTTTGCTTATATAGCCCTCCTAGGACTTTTGTCCTATCAGAGTAGCTTGTTGCACAGTGTGCTCCTTGTGATCAACGGTTAGTTAATCTTGTCTCTCCAAAATCTAAAGTTTAAATCCTTATTCATTAAATCAGACTGTTTATCAAGTATAGTGCTTTACTAACGAGATTATTTCAGAAATAAGCGAACAAAACAATAAGACGTATGCTGTTTGTTTTTTGAGACAGGGTCTTGCTCTGTTTTCCAGGCTAGAGTGCAGTGACACAATCACGGCTCACTGGAGCATTGACCTTGTGGCTCAAGCAATCCTCCTACCTCAGCTTCCCAAGTAGCTGGGACCAAAGGTGTATACCAACACGCCCAGCTAGGTGTTTTTATGTCTGTCTGTTTGTTTGTTTTATTTTGCAGAGATGGAGGTCTCCCCAGGTTGTCCAGGCTGGTCTCAAACTCCTGGGCTCAAGTGAACCTCCCGCCTTGGCTTCTCAAAGTGCTGAGATTATGGGCGTGAGCCACTACACCTGCCCAATATTGTTGATCAGAGTAAAGAAATGACATAAACACCCAGTAACAGTTAGAAGCCGTATTCAGATTAGCTATAATTTTCACTAGAACCATCCCAATCTCTTGAAAGATAAAACATCAAATTAAATGTAGCCAAATCTAATTGCTTCACCTCTGATTTTTTTTTAATCACTTGAAAAGGGTAATGGTTCCCTCACATTTTGTATATAAAATCTACTGGCTAGGGGAAGGCTCAGAAACTTGAATGTTAAATAGGATCCCAGGTGATTCTTACACACACTGAAGTATAAAGGTCACTGGACCATTCTAGTGGCCATGGGTCCCCTCTGGTTGGCCTGTAGTTGAAATCTATGGGAACAACTTTCAAACTACCACATCTGAGGAATCAGTGGAGGTTAGGAGGTTACTTTTAGAAGGTGATTGGGAATGTACTCGAATTTGAGATTTGTTAAAGTTCATTATAGTTATCACATATGAAAGAAGCAGCACACATGAGGAAAGGAGAGCTCTGGGGCTCCATGATAATTCAGCATGCCACAAGAGAACACTGAGACACAATTAAATGAAATCACAACAATGATAGATGAGCAAGATAAAAATATTGAAGTAAAGATATAGAAATTTTACAAGAAGAAACAATTAGAAATTCTGGAGCTAAGAATTCTATGACGGAAATAAAAAAAATCACTAGGGGGTGTTCACAAGTAGACTTGATCAAACAGAAGAAGGAATCAGCTAATCCAGACACCAGTCATTTCAAATTACATAGACAAAGGAGCAAAAGAAAAAAGAATAAAAAAGAGCCAATGAACCTACGGACTTAAGGTACATCATAAAGTGAAATAATATACTGATCACAAAAGTTCCAGATGGAGAAGAGAAAAATAAGAAGGAAAGTACAGTGCTGGCTAAAAGCTTGCCAAATCTGTAGAAGAAAAAGGACATACAGATACATGAGGCCAAATGCAACTGAAATAAAACAAATTCAAGGGAAGTCCACACAAAGACATATTATAATTATATGTCAAAAGTCAAAAAGAGTGAATTTTGAAGAAGCAAGACAATGCTGAAAGAGAGAAATTCTCAACCAAGAATGCAATTTCTGGAAAAAAAATTTCTTCAAAAATGAAGAATAGATAAAGACTTTCTCAAGCAAAAGCTGAGAGAAACAACTTCATCACCACTAGATTTGTCATAAAATAAATGACAGGTGAGCTCTTTAACTCAAACAAAATAATACTAAATAGCAAAACTAAGCATAACTAAGCATATTAAAATATAAAACTTACTGGAAAAGCTAATTATTTAAACAAATACAAAATTGTGCAACATTGTAATGGTGGTGCACCTTTTTCTAATATGAAAGTCAAAAGACAACAAAGTAGAAATTACTATAACTACAGAAGTATAATAGTAGATATACACATATAAAAGATGTAATTGTGACATCAATAACAAAGTGGGAGAAGTGCAGAATTTTTTATGTGATTAAAGTTGAGTTGTTATTAGCTTAGAATAAACTTTGCCTCCATATATATGATGTTTTACATAAGCCCCAAGGTAACCAAAAAAATAAAATACTACAGAAAATATACAAAAGAAAAAGGAAATAAATACATATCAATACAAAAATATCAATGAACACAAAAGAAAACAGCAAGAGAAAAAAGAAAGAAGAATTATAACACAGACAGAAAAAATAAAATGAAGTGCCATAGCAAGTCCTTACTTATTAATACAACTTTGTAAATACAGTTGTCCCACAGTATCCATGAAAGATGGGTTTCAAGATCGCCTGTGGATACCAAAATTTATGGATGCTAAAGTCCTTTATATTAAGTGATATAGTATTTGCATATAACCCATGCACACCATCCCCTATACTTTAAACCTTCTCTAGATTACTTATCATATCTAATAGAATGTAAACAGTATATAAATACCTGTTACACCATCTAGTTTGCATTACTTTTATTATTCCATTTTTTATCATTGTTATTTTTATGGGGGTGTGTGATTTTTTTTATGCATGGTTGGTTGACTCTGTGGATGTGGAACCTACATCCAGCTGACTGTAAATGGATTAAAAATTCCCCAGTCAAAAGACAAAGAACGTCCAAATGCATTAAAAAATAAAATCAAACTATAGGCTGTCAACAAGAGACTATAGATTCAAGGATGCCCAAAGGCTGAAAGTGAAGGGAGGGAAAAAAATATTCCATGCAAATCATAACGAAAAGACAGCAGGAGTGGCTAAATTTATACCAGGCCAAATAGACTTTAGGTTAAAAACAGTCACATGAAATAAAAAAGGTCATTATATAATGATAAAAAGGTCAATTATCAGGATGTTAGAACAACTATAAATGTATAGGCACCCAAGATCAGAGTACCTAACTATATATAAGGCAAACATTGACAGATTTGAAGGGAGAAATAGACAGCAATAAAATAACAATGAGACACAACATTACGCCACTTTCAATAATGGGAATGAATCTCTAGCAGAAAACCAGTAGGGAAATAGCAATCTTAAACATCCTATAAAACAAAAGGACCTCATAGACATGTACAGAACTATCCAGTGACAGCAGAATACACATTCTTCTCAAGTGACTATATAACATTTTTCAGGATAGGTCATCTGTTAGGCCACATAACAAGCACAAGTAAATTTAAGAATATAGAAATTATGTAAGTAGGAAAAGTATCTTTTCTATCTATAATGATATAAAACTAAAATCAATAACAAGCAAAACTAGAAAATTCACAAATATGTGGAAATCAATACACTCTTGAAAAACCATTATGTCAAAAAGATATCGAGGGAAATTAGAATGTATCTACCTATAAAAAAAGACCAAAAACGCAAAATAACAAAACTTATGGATGCAGCTAAAGTGGTATTGAGGCAGTATAGCAATAAACATCTACTCTAAACATAAGAAAAATGTCCAAAAACAAACCCACCTTACTTTAAACTTCAAGGAAGTAAAAAGGAACAAATTAAGCCCAAATTTACCAAAGGAATTAAATAACAGAGATTAGAACAGAAATTAAATAAATCAAATACAGAATAGGAAAACAATAGAAATAATCGATGAAATATAAAATAATGTTGGCAAATCTTAGCTAGACTAACCAAGAAAAAATAGAGAAGACTCAAATAAATAAAATCAGAAATGAAAGAAGAAACAATACAACTCATGCCATAAAAATACAAATGATCATAAGGGATTACTATAAACAATTATTTGACAATAAATTGGAAGGCCAAGAAGAAATGATAAATTTCTGGAAATATACACCCTACTATGACTGAATCATGAAGAAACCAAAAATTTAAACAGACCAATAGTGAATAAGAAGATTGCATCACCAATAAAAAACTGATTAAAAACCTCTCAGCAAAGAAGCTCAGGAAGAGATGGCTTTGTTAATAAATGCCACCAAACATTTTTTAAAAATACCAGTTCTTTATATACTCTTCCAAATTATTGAAGAAAAACCACATTTCCAAACTCATTAAATGAGGCTAGTATTTCTGTGATATCAAAGCCAAAGACTTTATAAGATAAGAAAATTACAGGTCAATATTCTTGATGAATAAAGATGCAAAAATTCTCAACAAACTTAAATACTCACAAACAGAATTCAACAGCACATTAAAAGTATCACACCTCATGATCAAGAGAGATTTATCCTTGAGATGCAGGGATGATTCAACATATGCAAATCAATAAATGTAGTACACCACATTAACAAAAATACTAAAAACATATAATCTCCATAGATTCAGAAAAAGCATTTGGGGCCGGGTGCAGTGGTTCACGCCTGTAATCTCAGCACTTTGGGAGGCCAAAGTGGGCAGATCACGATGTCAAGAGATCGAGACCATCCTGGCCAACATGGTGAAACGCCATGTCTAATAAAAATACAAAAATTGGCTGGGTGTGGTGGTGTGCACCTGTAACCCCAGCTACTCAGGAGGCTAAGGCAAGAGAATTGCTTGAACCTGGGAGGTGGAGGATGCAGTGAGCGGAGATTGCACCACTGCACTCCAGCCTCGTGACAGAGTGAGACTCCATCTCAAAAATAAATAAATAAGAAAAAGAAAAAGCATTTGGAAGTGGCTGGAGCAAAATGGTGGAATAGAAGGCTCCATCAATTGTCCTCCCACAGGAACACCAAATGTACCAACTGTCTACACAAACACAGCACCTTCATAAGAACCAAAAATAATATGAGCACTCACAATACCTGGTTTTATCTCCGTATCATTGAAAGAGGCACTAAAGAGAGTCAGAAAGAGAGCCGTGAATTGTTGATGCCAACTCTCCCTCATCCCCACTACAGCAGCCACATGGCACAGAGAAATGTGTGTTTGGGAGAGGGAAAGTGCAGCAATCGTGAGACTTTGCATTGAACTCAGTGCTGCCCTATCACAGTGGAAAGCAAAACTGTGCTGAACTCAGCTGACACAGACCCACAGAGGGAGCCTTTAGACAAGGTCCAGCCAGAGGGCAATTTGCCCACTCCAGCAGATGGAGCTTGAGTTCTGGCAAGCCTTGCCGCCATGAGCTGGCGTACTCTAGGGTCCTAAATAAATTTGACAGGCAGTCTAGGCCACAAGGACAGCAAGTCCTGGTGCTGAGCTGGGCTTGGAGCCAATGGACTTGGGAACACATGACTTACTGAAACAACAGCTGGGGCAGCTAAGAGAGTCCTTGCCCACACCTCCCCTAACCCCAGCAGCACAGCTCGTGGCTCCAAAAGAGATCCTTTACTTCTGCTTGAATAAAAGAAAGCGAAGAGTAAAGATGATCTTTGTCTTGCATCTTAGATCCCAGCTCATTACAGTAAGAAAGAATATTGGTCCGTCATGAGGCACCATTCCAGGCCCTAGCTCCGAGATGACATTTCTAGACACACCCTGGGCTAGAAGGGAACCTGCTGCCTTGAAGGAAAGAACCAGTCCTGGCAAGACCCATCACCTATTGACTAAAGAGCCCTTGGGCCCTGAATAATGAGAAGCAACACCCAAATAGTATGCCATATGCCTTGGGTGAGACTCAAGACATACTAGCTTCAGGTGAGACCTAGCACATTCCCAGCTGTGGTGACTACAGTGACAGACTCCTTCTGCTTGAGAGAAGCAAAGAGAAAGGTCAAGGGGACTTTGTCTTGTACCTTAAGTACCAGCACAGTCAAATGGGCATAGTGCATCAAGGGGGCTCTTGAGGTTCCCTATTCTAGCCCATGGCTCTTTTATGGCATTTCTGGAGCTTCTCTGGGCCAGAGGGGAGCCCATGTCCATGAAAGGTGATTCCCAGGCATAGCAGCATTCACCACAAGCTGACTGAAGAGCCTCTGGGCCTTAAGTACACACAGGTGGGAGTGTGGCAGTTACTCACCATAGGCCTGTGATGGTGGTGGCCACAGGGTCATTCTCCTCTGCCTGTGGAAGGAAGAGGGAAGAGTGGGAAGGGCTGTGTCTTGTGGCTTGAGGGCCAGCTCAGTTGCAGTATAATAGAACACCAGGTAGACGTCTAAGGTTTTTGACTCCAGTCCCTGGGTACCAGAAAACACCTCTAGACCTACCTGGGGCCTGGAGGACTCGCTGCATGGAAGGGAAGGACACAAACCTGGCCTCAGGTGATGTATCTAATGTAAACTACATAATCTATAAGAAATATGTAAATAATATTTTCCTATGATATATAACCTCAGTTCCTAACACAGATGTCCAGAGGCAAATCTTTCAAATTCACAAGCAAAAATTAGATAGAAGCAAGTTACATGTGAACAAATGGAATCAGATGCAATGAGAGAAAACAGCTAGCACATTATATACATAGCTGAAAGCTGGACAGAATAAAAACTTGAATTTTAGATTCAATGTATTTAGAAGCACAATAGAATTCAAATGGTACATTTAAACATGTGAGAGTGTTTTTCTACTCTAAAACTGGAGAGGAGAGGGGAGGAGGATTTAATGAGATAATGAACATTATGTAACTGTCACAATAAACATTTAATACATGACAGTGGTTGTTGTTATGCTTACTATCTTAGAAGTCAAATGTTCTTTAAAGAAAGTGTCCAAAAGTAGATTTATGCCATAAATGGTGCCAAGAATTAGGGCAAAGGGCAGGTCAAAGGTGAATAGGGGATATGATGTAGCAATTGTCAGCTTTGGTTAGTAACCTGGTTAATGTCCTCCTTTATTATAAATAGGGATCTAATTCAAAGGAAGGAACAGTATAATACATACACAATATACTTTTGCAACCATCTGAGCTGACAAAAAAAGCAGGGTCCCACAATAGCAGAGGCTTATGAGAAAAAGTCTGAACTGAATATATGAACACCTAAGTTTTAGGCCTCTTTCTTCTAACAGCCAACATAACTTTGGATCATTCTAACCTCTCTGGTCTCAGTTTCTGTGATACGAGGAAATTGAGCTTAATAAGACTAGAGGTCCTTTCTGACACTAACATTCTACACTGGTGTATTCCTCTCACATTTTTAAAGTTAAATTTATGGTTTATTTTTTAATATAAGATAATTCATCACCAGTATAGTAACAAGATGAGAAGGCATCTGAGCTAAGGAAATAGATGTTTTTCCATCTGCCTCTTGCTGTTTTTCTATCATAGAGCAAGATCTTCCTAGTAAAGGGTTGAAGGCAACTTTTCTGTGTCAAATTAGCTGTTGCTCAGCAAATAGAAGTTAAATGCCACTATACGGAGCAAACAAACACGTGCTAGCATGAAATCTGTGGCAGCATCCTCAGTACCCTACTTCAGTCAACAGAACTATCCAGGACAGATCTCCTAAAAACATAATTTATTGACAACATAATGAGGTTCTCTTTTTGTACTGACCTAATTCAATTTTAGATTATGTTTAAACTGATTTTTCTTAGAATTTTTCAAAATACAATACAAAATTTTCTAATAGGGAGAAATTATATGTATAAATATTTGAATATGTGTATTACAAAACATTACATCAAAGCAGAATTAATTTAAATGCAAATAGAGAAAGTCGTTTGGACCCTATGTTATGTGATGTCAATGAAACTTACACTCTGAAAAACAGAGATATGATATAGTGGAGGCTGTGGGATCACGTAGTAACATGTTGAGCCACATTCTCCCATAACCCTGATTTCATTGAACTAAGACAAAGATGGGAGGTGAGTTATTGAATTGAGAACTATATGGAACTTTTCACAAAAGTGCATTAAAAGATTGTCTTGGAGTCAAAAGAAATAAATATAACACTTTAAGAGAGAGAAAATGGCTATTGTAGTGGTCCCTATCGTTCATTTCCTTCATAGATTAGAAGAATGAGTGTCGTAGAAGCCAATAACATTTCTGGGCCTGTGAGTGAATTTATCCTCCTGGGCTTCCCCTGCCTGCTGCAGGGAGACCAAGATCCTCCTCTTTGTGGTCTTCTCCCTCATCTACCTTCTGACCCTCATGGGTAACACATCCATCATCTGCGCTGTGTGGTCAAGCCAGAAACTCCACACACCTATGTACATCCTCTTGGCTAATTTCTCTTTCCTGGAGATCTGCTGCATTAGTTCTGATGTCCCAAAATGTTGGCCAATCTCATCTCCCATATCAAGAGCATCTCCTATGCTGGCTGCCTGCTCCAGTTCTTCTACTTCTCCATGTGTGCTGCAGAAGGCTACTTTCTGTCTGTGATGTCCTTTGATCGGTTCCTTACCATCTGTCGACCTTTGCATTATCCCACAGTCATGACTCACCACCTGTGTGTCTGATTAGTGGCCTTCTGCAGGGCAGGTGGTTTTCTATCCATACTGATGCCTGCAGTGCTTATGTCCCGAGTGCCTTTCTGTGGCCCTAACATCACTGACCATTTTTTCTGTAACCTGGGACCATTGCTGGCACTGTCCTGTGCCCCAGTTCCCAAAACTACTCTGACTTGTGCTACAGTAAGCTCTCTCATCATCTTCATCACCTTCCTCTACATTCTTGGGTCCCATATCTTAGTTTTGCGAGCTGTTCTGTGGGTCCCAGCTGGCTCAGGCAGGAACAAAGCTTTCTCTACATGTGCTTCCCATTTCTTGGTTGTTTCTTTCTTCTATGGCTCAGTCATGGTGATGTATGTGAGTCCAGGCTCCAGGAGCCGCCCTGGGACACAGAAATTTGTGACATTGTTTTACTGCACAGCAACCCCATTCTTTAATCCCCTGACCTACAGTCTCTGGAACAAAGATATGACAGATGCCCTTAAAAAAGTGCTGGGAGTGCCATCAAAAGAAATATCTTGGAACACACTGAAATGATATACATTCTTCTACAATTATTCCATAAGAAATGCAAAATTTCTCTCATTTTAAAAAAAACTATTTTCTGGTGATGTCTGAGCACTTGGCTTCTTACTCATAAAAGCGTGACTCATTACACACAAAGAGCCCTGATCCTATCTCAAAGCAAAAAGTATACAAAGTCCTAAGTTTCATCGTAGGTAAGATCTGTACAATTTTTATTCATCTATGTATCATTTTTCCATTTTGGAGATTTTTTAAGTCCTAAAACTATATGTAATTCAGTTGGTATGTACAAAGCTAAGACCCATGTTTCTAATTTGTATTTTGGCTTTATCCTAATGCAACTTTATGCATCTTAAATGTGTTTTAAATTTATCAACTGTTTTTTCCTTGCCAACTATAGGTTTTTCTATAATGAAAAACAGCATCTACTCACTGTACTCACAAAAATTAAATTGCTTTATCTATAATATCAAAGAACGAGAATCCGTCACTGAAACAAGAATGTTTTTTAATTTGTATTTTCCTTATTACTAAGTCTTGGTAAGGTGTTCATGGTGCGCAGCAAATAAAAACTAGAAATGGTATAGATTCTTAAGGGAAATTCCTGTTCCAGCTCTGAAGAGAATGCATAGAAGGGCATGCATACATTCAAATATGCCAAATAATTAAATATTTCTTACTCAAACCTGGGCTTCTATACTTTCTGAGCTTATAGTGAAGAAACATCTACCGTTACAGAAAATAAACATAGGATACCAGGGAATCAACTCTATCAACCAAAATATAAGCTACCTTAAAGCAGTCACCACCTGGATTAAGAAAATGTGGTGCATATACACCATGGAATACTATGCAGCCATAAAAAATGTTTGAGTTCATGTCCTTTGTAGGGACATGGATGAAGCTGGAAACCATCATTCTCAGCAAACTATCTCAAGGACAAAAAAACAAACACCGCATGTTCTCACTCATAGGTGGGAATTGAACAATGAGAACACTTGGACACAGGAAGGGGAACATCACACACCGGGGCCTGTTGTGGGGTGGGGAGAGGAGGGAGGGATAGCTTTAGGATATATACCTAATGTAAATGACGAGTTAATGGGTGCAGCACACCAACATGGCACATGCATACATATGTAACAAACCTGCACATTGTGCACATGTACCCTAGAACTTAAAGTATAATAAAAAATACATATAAATAAAAATAAATAAAAAATTAAAAAAAGTCACCACTTAACATAAACTTCTTTACTTAACCTGATCACCTGCCAACACTCTGAAATTTTCATATTTTTAACTAAGGCACAAAAATTAGGGGGATAGGAAAGAGAGGTGTTTGTGATGTTGTCTCCAATATGTTGAAGAGAAAGTTAATGATTTGACTAAAAACATCCAGTCTACATTAGACTTCATATTCAAGTTTTTTCTGTGAACATATACCTCTTTTATTATTTGTTAAATTTTATTTCTAATGAACACATGATAATTATATATTTATGGGATACAATGTGATGTTTTGATAATCATTTACATTGTGAAATGATTAAATCAAGCTAATTAATAAATTCATCATCTCCTATACTTATTTTTTGTGGTTAAAACATTTGAAATCCACGCTTTTAGTAGTTTCTAAATATGTGGTGCATTATTATTTATTATAGTCACATTCTATGAAACAGATCACTAAATCTTATTCCTTCCATCAAACTGAATTGTTGTATCCTTTGATCAACATCTCTCCTCCCCTCAGCCACCTCTTCCCTCCAGCCTTAGTTAACCACCATTCTACTCTCTACTTTTAAGAGTTCAACTGAATGAAGTATCACCTCATATCTGTTAGAATGGCTATCACCAAAAAGATGAAAGATAAGTATTGCTGAGGGTGCAGAGAAAAGTAAACATTTGTGCACTGTTGGTGGAAATGTAAATTAATATAACCGTGGAAAACAGTATAGAAGTTCCACAAAACACTTAAAATAGAATTACCATATGATTAAGCAATTTCCCTTCTGGGCATATATCCAAAGAAATTGAAATCAATATGTCAAAGAGATATCTGTACTTCCAAATTCATTGCAGCATTATTCACAATAACCAAGACACGGAAGCAACCTAGGTATTTGTCATCAGATGAGTAGATACACAAAATGTGATATATACACACAGTGGAATACTATTTGGCCCTTAAAAAATAGAGAAATTCTTCCATTAGTGACGATGTGGATGAACCTGTAGAACATTATGCTAAGTGAAAAAAATCCAGACACACACAGACATCTTAAAATCCTCTTCCAAGTTATTTTGACTTTTGGAATATTTTCTTCAATAAAATACGTTAAGGGATAAAGCTTCATAGACCACTGTGGAGCTAAGGGAGAATTCAGAGCAACCTGCAATGCCAAAGCGTTAGTTCTTCTTGCCCTCTGCAGATTGTAGAGACTATACCCACCTGAGATAACTCTATTAGAGTATAATTCTGCCAGTGTTCTCACTTACATCCAATAAAAGCTGACTCTAGCTGATTATGTAAATGAAAAAGGACTTATTGATGGAGTAGCAGGAATCTCACAGAACCAATGAAAGCTAAAGAGCCAGAGTTGAGGCTCAAATTCAAAGATACATATGCAAACCACCATGCAGAACTGATGATGAAAAATCATGACTGCAGTCATGGCTGTGCTATAGGCCACCAAGATGCTACATGAGCACCACTGTCATTCTGTTCTAGGAACTTGTCTTTTCTGCAATAAGTGTGCTACCTTCTTGTCTTTTTTTTTTTTTTTTAATTGAGACGGAGTCTTGCTCCGTCTCAGGCTGGAGTGCAGCGGTGCGATCTCGGCTCACTGCAAGCTCCGCCTCCCAGTTCACACCTTTCTCCTGCCTCAGCCTCCTGAGTAGCTGGGACTACAGGTGCCAGCCACCACGCCCGGCTAATTTTTTTGTATTTTTACTAGAGACGGGGTTTCGCCGTGTTAGCCAGGATGGTCTTGGTCTCTTGACTTCGTGATCCGCCCACCTTGGCCTCCCAAAGTGCTGGGATTACAGGCGCGAGCCACTGCGCCCAGCCTGTTCATTGTCATTTCTTATGCCAATATTTCAACATTGTTGCTCTTCCTACTTCTGCTTCTTGATTCAAAGCCTGGTATAGCTGTATCTGGTAAAGGCAAGAGTACATTCCTACAACTTTAAGTGCAAGGGAAGCTAGGAGAGCTAATATCTGGCAATATAAACAACAATTACATAAATAGAAGCTCCAAGCCTGATAATATTGGGATTACCTCAAACATAAAAAGGGATGGAGATACTGGACAGCAAACACACACACACACACACACACACACACACACACACACACACACAGAGCGAGAGAGAGAGAGAAATAACTCAAACAACCCATTCATTTTGACTATTCCATATCTCTGAGCTATGTTTCCTCTAGAGATTACACAGGGTGGAAATCAAATTATCCACCTATGCAACAGCAGTGAAAGGGGAGCAGGATGAGTAAGGGGTAAAACACTGTCTCGGGTAGTTGAGGACTTGTCTATCTCATGATGAATGCTGTTAGAAGATACTGTGCTGCTTATAAGTTACTACTGCATTATCTGGAGTTCTGAGAGAAAAAGTTAAACTAAAGGTAAATAAATTATCATCTGGAAAATCTCTGTAAGCTGCAGTGAGATTTAGTGTTGTGCACTTGCCTTTCATCTTTCTTAGAACTAGTGAAGAATGGATATAGAGGATTCTTCACTTACTCTTTCTCTTTAAGCCAAAAATTCTTAGACTTGGGGGAGGGGGCCAACGAACCATAATTAACTGAATAACTAAAATCCTCACTTGTATCTAAGCTCTCATTGTGCTTGAAAAAGATGTTCATATATAAAATTGAAATATTTTAAAGTATGTTTTTAGTCTAAATGTGTACATAAAAACATAAAAGTTTTACTAACTGGGGCTTGCTTAGCTACACTGAAATGAATTGTATTCCATTTTGTCTACTTTTTAATTATACAAATAAATCATATATTTTATAGTGAATAGTCGTTGTAAAGAAAAAAACTATAAAATAGTGAAAATTTTCACATCTCCACACCTCTACACACACACATGCCTCCTCAGCAACGTGTTTAGTTTGGTGGATGTATTTCTAAGTCCTCTTTCTGTACATATAGAAGCAAAATCTCTGGGTTTTGAGTGGGTATATAAATTGGATTATACCTAAGTATTGTTCTACAACTGATTGACCCTCCCAACCACTCTGTACTCTCACCTAAACAGCAATGTCTGAAAGGGAAATTTTAGCCAGCTCTGCAGGTACTTCTGTCAGTTTGGGACAAATCAGGACAAACAGACTGAAGATACAATTCTTCAGGAAAGACTTTCCCAGGAGATGGAGCATGGATGTGTAAGGTCACTAGTTCCAACATGTAGCACACTCAGTGGGTTCTTTCCCCTGCCAAAATCAGGATTTCAATTAGGAAAATACGTGAAATAAGAGCATGCTTGTTCTCTCCAGGCAAAGAAACTTCATTCTGAAAAATAAAGTCAATTTAGTATTTGTTTAACCTCAATATTATTTGAGGTCTGTATTTAGTCCTTAGACCTCTCTTTAACCTGTACTGTCCAATACAATAGCCACGACCCACATGTGGTTACTGAGCACCTGCAAAGTGACTAGTCCTAATTAAGATGTGCTCCAAGTATAAAATCAAATACCAGTTTTGAACACTTGGTGGGATGAAAGAATGTAAACATCTCATTAATAGTGTTTATACTAATTCCATGTTGAAATACTATTTTGGGTGAGTTGGGTTAAATAAAAATATTATTAAAAATTTCACGGCTGCTCTTCAGCAAGGTGGAGTGGGCGCGCCACATGCCCTTCTTCCCCAAGCTGCCGGTGGCCGACCAGGTGGCTTCGCTCTGAACGCGGGTTAGGTGGCATTGTCCCTGCACACTGCTGCCATTTTTCAATGGTGCATCTTCAGGCACATTTTTAAACCAAACTTCTTGCCTTTCTTAATAGCCACCATTTGGATTTGGATCTCTAAGTGTACTTGTTAGAGCATTTCCACACTCATTTTGATGATTGCCTTGCTTTCCTGCTCACCGTAAACTTGAAATAGGAAGGACAGAACTCCCTCACTTCCTATAGGTCTCCTCAAAATTTAGCTTAAATGAAGCCTTCCCAGACTATTCTATTTAAAAGAGCATCCCCACTCTCACTAGTATCTATTCCCATCATCTGCTTTGCCCTTCTTCAAAGAATGTATCACCACAGGAAATATTGTATCCTACATATTTATTTCTCTATTTCTTGATCCCTGTCTTCCCATACTGTAATATAAACTGCATGGGAATAGGTATCACTGCTATAGCTTCAGTGCTCAGATAATGCCTAATACATAATAGGAGCTCAATAAATGTTTGTCGAATAACCTTGTTAACTCAATAATTGAGCTATTACTATTGCAGAAGCCATTCAGGAGCAGTAAAAAGATCATATTTCCTGCCCTAAAGAAACTTATATTCTAACTGGTAGGAAAGTAAAAAATAGCACAAACAATGCTGTAATAGATACCCAAAAGGCAGACCAATTTTGAGTAAATATTTGGCAAAACTCAAAAGGCAATGAACTTAGAAAATAACATTATGATATACTGCAGTGGGCAAGGAAAGTTTCGTATGAGGCATCTAAACATGGGCAAGGTATGAATAGAACAATTTTAAGCTCAGGTTGTAAAACTAAGATTATACTCTGTGAATTAGAGAGAGTGAGTCAAATGGGAGTGATGAGACATATATTAAGGTAAAAATAAAGTTTAAGAAGAAATTCAGAACCTAAAAACATTTACAAGCTAAAGAATTTGGGATTTTTTCCTGTGTTTAGGTAGAGAGAAAATAAGTGATGGAGGTTCAAGAACATAATTCTGGAATTTGACATGGGAGATAACAGAGACAGACCATTTATGAAGTGATTATGCCATCACAGATATGGAGTGCTAGGAACCTGCACAGAAAAGACGAGCGTAAAGATGACAAATGATCCCAGGGAAGATGCCTAATCTGTTTAATGACAGATTAGAAGTGGGAATGAGATGGTAAGGAATTCTACTGTCAAGATTTCAAGTTCATGCTATAAATCAACAGATCCATGAGAAAATAAGGATGGCTAGAGCTAATTTAAAAGGAGATTAACAAATTTAGGATTAGACATTTGAATTTGAAATAGATCGTCATGTAAAAATATCCAGCAGAATGCTGCAAATATTTAACTACACTTTGGTAGTAAAGTCAGTGCTGGAGTTACCCCAGAATCAAGATTTAGCACAAGATTTCCTCATGGAGTGCAGTACTGCAAATTAATAAATTGCTACTCAAAAAAATAAATTAGAGGGTAGAACTTACCCGAGGAACACTTTTCCAGAGTTTAATGAAGAACTACACACACAAAAAAGTGCTTAGTAGGCCTAGATTGTCAGCGATCTCACAGATTCTATGGCTCTTTGGTTTGCACTGGGCATCACCTGACCTTCTTGTGTCTACATATGCCAAAGTGTTAGCATTGGCAAAATGTGAGGTGTCAATCAAGTCAACATAATATTATTGAAGGCCCTTGTTAGCCCCAGAAGTTATACTTCAAATTATAAAGAATAAAAAGGCAGAGCTTAAAATTGTCCCTGAATTGTTGAGAGTTTTGGGGGTGTGTATGTGTGTGTGTGTTTTAATCTGGTAATTTGAAGGATCAGTGGAAAACTATTTGTATAGTTGCAATACATTCAACCATTGCTATGCTCTCAAAAAAAATGAAACAACTTGCTTCAATGAAGGCAGAATCTGAGGATGTTGAAACATACCAAACAGTATGTACTGAAAACCAAAAGAGTAAGCAGAAGCTCAGTTTTAGAGAAATAGATGAAAATATTAAGTAGAATTGCAAAAATAAAAAAATCTATTTAAGGTACAAACATATCTGGACCATAATAGTAATAACTTCCTAAGACTGAAACCATGGGTCCAATTAATTCTTTCAAATTATCTTCCCAATATATAAAAGTAGAATAAAATGGAAAAAAGCATGATCTCATTGGTCTCATCATCTTTCATCCTTCTAAACATTAATGATGAATTATATTAAATTTGCCTCTTGGATCCTTTAGAAATTTCCTACTATAACACATACATAAATTTTTTTGGCTATCCCTCCCCCCCCAAACCCACAACAGGCCCGAGTGTGTGAAGTCCCCCTTCCTGTGTCCAAGTGTTCTCATTATTCAATTCCCACCTATGAGTGAGAACATGCGATGTTTGGTTTTTGTCCTTGCGATAGTTTGCTGAGAATGATGGTTTCCAGCTTCATCCATGTCCCTACAAAGGATACGAACTCATCATTTTTTATGGCTGCATACTATTCCATGGTGTATATGTGCCACATTTTCTTAATCTAGTCTATCGTTGTTGGACATTTGGGTTGGTTCCAAGTCTTTGCTATTGTGAATAGTGCTGCGATAAACATATGTGTGCATGTGTCTTTATAGCAGCATGATTTATAGTCCTTTGGGTATATACCCAGTAATGGGATGGCTGGGTCAAATGGTATTTCTAGTTCTAGATCCCTGAGGAATCACCACACTGGTTCAATCGACAGTGTGGCGATTCCTCAGAAATTTCTTTAGTGCCTCTTTCATATCCTTGTTCCGGAAACTGTAGATCAGAGGATTAAAGAATGGAGTTGACAAAGTATAGAACAAGGTCGCAAATTTCTTTATCCCATGATAGTCCCCAGAACCTGGGCTAACATACATCACCATAAGAGAACCATAGAAGAGAGACACTACAGCAAGGTGACAGCCACAAGTTGAGAAAGCCTTATGCCTTCCTAAGCCTGAAGGCACCTGTAGCACTGTGCTTAGAACACAGAAATAAGTCCCAAGGATATACAAGAAGGTAAGAAAGATGATGAGAGCGCTAATGATACCACAAGTCAGAGTAATTCCAGGTATTGGAGCACAAGACAGTGCCAGCAAAGGTGCCAGATCACAGAAAAAATGGTCGATAGTGTTTGGACCACAAAAGAGCACCTGAGATATTAGTGTCAAAGGGGTCAATAACCAGAGACAGCCACCCACCCAGCAGAAGATCACAAAAATGAGCACAAACGTGATGGGTCATTAAGGTGGGATAGTGCAAAGGTCTACAAATGGCAGGAAACCTATCAAAAGACATCACTGACAGAAATAAGCACTCTGCAGCACACATGGAGAAGAAGTAGAACCGGAGCAGGCAGCCAGCACAGGAGATGCTCTGTGTCTGGGAGATGAGATTGGCTGCCATTATGGGCACGTCAGAACTGACACAGCAGATCTCCAGGAAGGAGAAATTGGCCAGTAGGATGTACATAGGTGTGTGGAGTTTCTGGCTTGACCACACAGCACAGATGATGGATGTGTTACCTAGGAGGGTCAGAAGGTAGATGAGAGAGAAGACCACAAAAAGGAGGATCTGGATCTCCCAGCGGCAGGGGAAGCCCAAGAGGATGAACTCATTCACAAATCCAGTGATATTAGTAGTCTCCAAGGTCCTCACTGGTTTGGCCTGTAGAGGTGACAGAGATAGTAAGAACCACAGAAATTCTGCCCTGTCTCCCTTCTATCTCTTCTGGTGAATAGATATATGTTTATTTTCTTCAATTTGGATTTGGGATACTGCTCTCTTCCCCTTGGAAGGATGAGCTGTTCTTTCCTTTTCACCTCCGTCCTAGTTTATTCAATAAATAGTCATTTTGCAAATTATTGCTCTAGAAGATAAAGAACAATGAATAAAATAAAAAAGAGTCCCTGATCTTATAGAGCTTATGTCAAATACCTTTTGTTCAAAGCAACCTCAAGCAGTACGTTGATGGCTCCAAAAGTTCTACATAGGGCAGGCCTTGGAGCATACATGTACTGGAAGGGATCTGAGGAGATTTACCTTGGAACATCATTTGGATAGCGAAGATACTGTTTTTACTTAAATTGTATGCTTCTGATAACTTCAGGAGAAGCTGACACAAATTATGGGGTTGATGTGAGCGTCCCTCCACCTATATCAAAATGCTGCCATTGACACAGTAGCAGTAGAATGTGACAAAAACAAAACTTTCTGTGGTTGTCTGAGACACACATAATATTCATTTGGAAATAATAACAAAAGGCTTTTGAGAAGAAAATGAACGTTGACAAAATATAGAATTTTCCATAACGATGGCGGGAAAATGTTATTTGCATATAATAAAAATGTAGAAAGATTTGGATACAAAAAATTATACCCAGAGAAGAGTATAAAATAGTACAAGTGTACTTGCAAAAAGTTGTGAGACATAAGGTATAAATATACGGTAATCACATGGCAGAGGACTTGCTGCCAGCCAGTCTAACTAGTTCAAGCTTAATTTGCTAGTCAAGGAAAAACAAGATGTATTAAGTAGAAGAATGAAATAATTGAAGCTTTATGAAAACAGCATTTTTCAAGACCATTTGGTGCAGGTTAATAAAATTAGCAGAAAAATTTGGAAATTATTTCAATAGCCCAAGGAAAAAGTGTAAAAAGCTTGACCTGGGGCAATTACATACAAACAAATACCAGGGAAGGGACAGAGGTAATTAAATTCTGCCCAAGAGGCAGAGAACGAGGACAAGGAAAAAAAAAAAAAAAAAAAGCAAGGTTTCACTTTCCATTTGCCACAGATAGTCCTCTGCATGGGGTATCTCACAGGCGAGATCCACTTTCAGCACAGTAATTGTGCATTGAGGACCTTTCTGTACCAAAAGATTAGCCTACTGAAGGGTCATGTTGGATATCTCTTAGATTCCCCAGTCCTTTTTTCTTTTGACTCTTTTGAATCAGAATGTTAAATTTCATGAAATAAATTAGCTACCACCTACAAAGTTTTCTCTCCAAGTCACACACAATGAGTGAATATGTGCTACGCTGTATCTGTGTGAAAGAGAATAAACAAGAGAGTTAGTCCAAATTATTGCCCAAACCTGCACCAAATGGTCTTGCAAAATGCTGTTTCCATAAAGCTTTGAACATTTCATTCTTCTAGTACATCTTGTTTTTCATTGACTAGCAAATTAAGCCTGAACTAGTTAGACAGGCAGCAATGACTCCCATTTTCCTGTCTTCTAAGAATATAATCCTTTTGAAGATAATCTGCAAGGACAAAATTACTATTTGACAAAATTTCTTAATTCTGTGTCTAATAAGCCTAATAATAAAGCTGTTTGTGAAGGAAAATAGTCATGAAAATTTATGCTCCTTTTTATACCAACATCTGAAACAAAGTGGACTTCGAGATACAGAAAAGTTACTGCTCCACCTGCCCATAATTCCATATCCTAAATGTTGCCCGGGAGTCAAATAGCCTCTAAGTAAGGCACCTTTTGATTCTTTTCTTTACAAAGGCCCCTTTCAGGCTTTACTCAGATGTAGAACATGCCACAAATCTCCCCATTCCTCATTACTTATCCCTTCCAGAGTCTGAGGCTCTGTCTCTGGAGATCTCAATCCTGGGACCAGTGGGGGCAATTAACGTGCATTATGCAGGCTTGAGTATGTTTCATCTTCAGAGATAATCATATTGGAGACAAAAACTACATAATATGCATACACGCTCATGTGCAGTCACACACACACTTACACACACACAGATCAGGCTGTTAACATAGCAGTATTCCTTCCAGAGTTTCCTCTCCTAATCTTAATAAATTATCTTTGCGCTAACAAACTTTTTCTGCCATGAGAGGCACCATTACCTTCAAATTTTGTTAATCTCAGAAACTGAGAAGAAAAAAAAAATTCTGGGTCTAAACAGTTTAATAACAAATAAACAAAGGTACCACACTTGGCAGATAAAAAATGACTTTTTGTCTATGTGTCTGTGCAGTTAAAACAGATTTAGATTCCCCATTGGGACAAAAGGAAAAACACACAAAAAAAGGAAGGAGGTTCTTTTGAAAAACATACTCCCTTGCTCCAAATATGTAACAATTTTTTTTCTCTTTTTAAATTCACTACACAAACTCTGTGATGAGGTAAGAAAAGCGACGAGGGCTCTTCCTGCTTTTTTTCTTAAACCATTAAAGTAAAACCCGTAATTTTCTACAGAGTACAACACAAGTTCACACAAAAAAGACATTTTCTTTTGCAAATCAAAACAGGAAAGAAAGGAAAAGCTCAAACAAGGTGAAGGAAAAGCATTTCTACAGCTGAATCACGACTGAGTTGATCAAAGCCCATTGTTGCTGCACAACAGACTGTGCGTTTGGTCACAGCGGCAATTTTTTTTTCTCTTCACATTGTGAAATCACTTTACATTGTTTTCTAGTAGAAAAGGCAAAAAATTGTACAAAACCCCTAGTGTTAAATACGTTTGTACCAATAAAACACTCACACAGGTTTGTCTCCAAAATGTCAAGTTTCTTTTTCTTTGCTTTTTAAATTATTCACAAGACCCAAAATTTTTCATCCATGTTGCCCAATTGGCAGTTTGAAGATCTTGCCCACTAAATCCAGAAGGATCTTATGCCCAGAAATCCACAGAGCTACCCATCTTTATTTCTTATAAACTCTTTTTCTCCACATATAGATCAAACAAGGTAGATGTTAGTCAACCCAGAAGTTAAGATATCAATTGTGTGAAAAAGACAAATCCATTTCCTCTTTTTCAAGTGTAGATCACATTTCTGGGTCCCCTTTGGAGTTAGGTGTGGTCATGTGACCGAGTTCTAGTTCAGAGAAAACAATTAAAACTGCTGTGCAACACTTCAGGCCCTACCCATATAAGGGCCTTGATGATTTTTGATACCATTGAGCACAATGACATTGAAAGACATTTATGAAGATGATGAAGTCAAAGAGAAGTCCTGAATTCCAGAATCAGCACTTGAAGAACCTGCCAATCAGGAGCACCCATTCAGATTTTAAGTGAGCAATAAACTTCTTTTGGCCCAGCATGCTGGCTCATGCCTGTAATCTCAGCACTCTGGGAGGCCGAGGTGTGTGGATCATTTAAGGTCAGGAGTTCGAGACCAGCCTGGCCAACATAGCAAAACCCTGTCTCTACTAAAAAATACAAAAATTAGCTGGGTGTGGTGGCACACACCTGTAATCCCAGCTACTCGGGAGGCTGAGGCAGGAGACTTGCTCGAACCCAGGAGGCAGAGGTTGCAATGAGCCAAGATTGCGCCACTGCACTCCAACCTGGGTGACAGCGAGACTCCGTCTCAAAAAAATAAAGAAAGAAATAAACTTATTTCATGTTTGATCCACTTTAAAAAAATTGTTTGGAGAAGAAAGTGACCAATTGAAACCAACATTTTTACATTTTGAAGAATGTATTAAAAAAGCAATTTGTGAATGGCTGTATCAACATATAATTCAGTGGGCTTATTCCCTTCAAAGACTCAATTCTGAAATAACAGGAATAAATTACGGAAATAATTTCTGGAGACTGAACAATTACTAGGAAGGAATAGAAAGTGAGTGTTAGTGGATACATTTACCACAAGATCACCATTAGGTTGTATTTGAATTTGAATATGATTTCCTTTGAAATATATGATCTTGTGCCTATCTACATTCACGGCAAGCACAATCCTTCCTTTAGCTTGAGCCAAAACCTGTGGGGCAGAAATAAGAAAAACCTTTAGCAGTAGGAAGCAGTGTGGAGTTTTTTAGTTTTTTGAATGCAAAGGTTTACAGAGACCTGAGGACCTTGAATTAAGTGAACATAGTTACAGGGGGAAAAAATAGTAAGAACTATCCCTACCATCAGCATTCAATTAACAGTAGTGAGAAAATACAGCTGTAAACCCAGTTGCAGAAAGTTGAGGATAGGACAAATTCAGAAGCTCTTAAAATCCTGGTAAGTAGAATTAAATTTAATTTAAAGCCAGCCATGGAAATTAAAAGATATAATTAAAGTTTAATTAAAATGTAGAGCGTTTAAGACTTTATGTGAGTGGTATATCACTTTCTTAGATGCTATAAAATTAAATTAGAAATATTGATAGAAAACATGTTCTTGAAAATATTATTTTGCTGCCCTGTTTCAGGTATCTCTATGTCTATAAATTCAATCCCTGTCTTCCATGGGTTTGCTAATGCTGGTCTTTCTGCCCATATGCCCTCACTTTCTATCTCTGCAGTAAAATGTCACCATCCTTCTTAGGCAAATCACACACTAGCTCTTACAACTTCCATCTGAAAATTGCATGCCATTACATCTATTCAGAAATCGATAGGCAAATCAGGGTAGTCTTTTGGTCACACCTAATTTCCAAGTGTCAGGGAGGTACAATTCTATCATGCACTCAGGAGGAAAAACAAAATACTGGTGAACAGAGTAACAACTACAACATTTAAGCTTCCTTTGTTCTTCATGTAAGCATATGATTAAACCTTTATTAAAAGAATGTAAAACAACTATATGTTTAAATTAACTATAATACTTTAAGCTCTTTGATGCAAAGATCTTTTCTTGCCTTTTGTCTTTTTACCTTAGAAAGCCCACAGGACCATGGGTTCTTACTTTGTATCTAATAAATTTTTTAAAAATTTTCCTTCAGTCAAAAATTCACTGAGTGAAGATGAGTACTATATACAACCTCTTCCAGGATACCCCTTTCTGGATATTGGTCATGCATACACTGCATACACTCAACACCATTGCCAAAATTTTGACAACTTGCCCTCAGAAAGATTAGCTACTTTGTTAAATTTTGATTCTTCCCTTTTTTTAATTTAGTTTCTACCCTTGAATCACAGGATTTCACACATACATTGCTATACATATCAGAGTTCAGTACAAGATAGAAAAACAACTCCAAATATTTTAAGCAGAAAGAAATTTAACAGGGAATTAATGCTTGATTAACTCTTTTTCCTTGTTATTCATAGTCATCCTTAGAGAGGTAGCATAATTTTACCACATTAGGATAATCTGCACTTTCGGTGTCTTGTCTTTCAATATCTTAAATGTTTCAAAATGTTCTGTACTATACATTTGATGATATTTATCATACATGGTATCATTAATTGATTCAATCCTTGAGTCAATAAATATTTGTGAAATAACTACTATTCACCAGACACTTTTTTCACTCACTCTTGATATCACAGTAAGGAAATCTGCCTCCAAAAAGTAATTAATTTGTGACATAGCAAACCCCAGAAGGGAAAATTTGAGGTAACACAATGAGTTCACTTGTACACATGGTCAACTATGTGTCACTGAGATATCCAAGTAAAGACAACCAGTCAGCGATTGGACAGAAAAGTCTCAAGCTCAGGAGAGGGTAATAGATATATTAGATATTAGAAGCTGCTAGCACAGAAAGGGCATTTGGACCTGAAGTGGGTATATACTTCCTAAGAAATACTGCCTAAGAAATATGTATGAGAAAAGAGCAGAGTGTCTAACGTCAAGCCACCAGCAATGCCATAATAAGCACAAATAAATATATAGTGGATAGGTGGAGAAGCAAAATACCAAAAAAGAAACAGGAAAAGTAAATAAAGAGGGAAAAAAAAACAGAAGAAAATAAGCAAAGAAAATGGGATTTTCTTTGAATTTTCATTTAGAGAGTTGTCAGTCTGGTCAAACACTGCTAAAAAGTCAAACAATTCACGAACTTACAAGTAACCATTTGATTTAGGTACATAGAAATCACTGGTGACTTTGGCAAAATTTCAGAGACATTGTGGAGAAGGAAACCAGATTGCTGTAGGCTGAGGAGTGAAGTGACAATGAGAGATACAGAGAACCGGTATAGACATGGGGCTTGGCTAAAGGAGAGGAGAGAGATGAAAACTGAAGGGGGATGTTAGATCAAGGAAGAATTATGTTTTTGTTTTTGTAAGGTAAGGTTGAGCAGGGAAAGGAGAGAAAGGTGGTAAGCAAAGGTACTCGCTCCCTGTAACTGTGGTAGAGGATGGAATACAGAATGTGAAGGGGGAGATTTCAATTTGAACAAAAGGGTAAGAATCTCTTTTATTGCTTATAGGAAGAAATGAAAAGAATGTGAGGACAGATTTTTTTACTTTAGTATGTTCCAATCATCAATAACAATCTTCCTGTGTTAAACTATTGGTTTGTCTTAAGTGATGTCCTAAGTGAAACACACAGTACACTAGCTTTGCCTTCAAAGCTTTCTTTTACTTAAGTAATCCAGCCACATAGAAAAAAATAAATATTGAATAGTATTTTTAGACAGTAAGATAGCTCTCCCACCCAAGACCCTCAGTTCTTCTAAAAGAAAACTGCTATTCCTAAGTCACATATAGATAATCAGTGCATTTACAAATATGTGTATAAACACATGGCTTTGGGCATTTAATTTTTAATTTACATAATGCATAATATTAACAGGTAATAGTTTTACATATTTACAAGGTACACGTGTTATTTTGATACAGGTATATAGTATGTAGTGACCAAATCAAGGTAATTGGGATATCTGTCACCTCAATCATTTATCATTACTTTGTAAGCACGTTTTTAAATAAATTATAGCGTACTAATCACACATTTCTGTACTTTATTTCACTTAGAACTACTTCTTGGACATATTGCTTCTTATCAAAATGTATACATCTATCTTAATTCTTAATGGCTGTGTAGTTTTTCATTCTCTAAATGTAACATGATTTATTGATTCAGTCACCTATTAATAGACGTATTTGTTTCCAAGATTCAGCTATGACAAATAATGCTGAAAGCTTATTAATTTATGTAGAAATTTGCAAAATACACAATATCTGAAAGAAATATTCTGAAAGTGAAAATGCTGAGTCATAAACTGTGCACTTTTTTTTTTTTTTTTTTGAGACAGAGTCTCTCTCTGCCACCCAGGCTGGAATACAGTGGCATGATTTCAGCTCACTGCAACCTCCACCTCCCGGGTTCAAGCGATTCTCCTGCCTCAGCCTCCTGAATAGCTGGGACTACAGGCACCTGCCATCACACCCGGCTCATTTTTGCATTTTTAGTAGAGATGGGATTTCACCATGTTGGCCAGGCGGGCCTCAAACTCCTGACCTGAAGTGATCCACCCACCTCGGCCTCCCAAAGTGCAGGGATTATAGGCGTGAGCCACCACACCTGGCCTAAGTGTGCACACTTTAAATTTTGGTCAATATGGCCACATTTTCCTCCAAAGAGGTGTCAGTGCTTTCCTCATTACTGTTGCTTTTCTCTCTATCCTTGGCACCAAGGCCTAGCTTTTCACAAGTTCTTCAAAATGAGCTTCACAAATTATTTTAGCCACAATGTTTTATGGCTTCATTATGGTGATATGAATACTGTCCATATCAGTGACATTAATTACTGTCAGTTGAGAGAATACGGTACATATTCTTGAAGTAAGACTCTTTCATCAAAGGTGACCCAATGTCTACCCTTTAAATCTATATTGTACACACTTAATAATATAAGGTCAGTGACCACATGAAATAAAGATATGGAGTAGGAGAAGGCTGCAACAGCTACCCACAATGCATTATAGAACAAACCTAGCACTGCCACTATTTCAATATGGGCATAGATGGGATATATGATTCTTCAGAACTCACTAGATCTGTTACCAGGCTAACCAGTTATTCCCCATAAAACTCATGACTTCTTACAAATCATTTGCTGGAAAATTTTTATATCCTAATTTCCTGAGATGGGCTCTACATTGTGGCAGATGGCTTTTTGACCTCTTAACTGTACACTCAAATTTTATCTGGCTTGTAAAAGCTCTATGACATTTAGCACAGACTGTATCATACATTCTATATGCAATAGAAAAAAGGTTCCCAAGGATATAAGCTATAAACAAAGCGCTTGTAGTAGTGTAATATAAGGGAGTAATAGTTGTTGCTATCGTTATTTTTTAATTTTAATTGACATACTAATTATACATATTTATGGGATAAAATATGATGCTTCAATACATGTATACATTGTGTAATGATCAAATGAAGGTAATTAGCATATCCATCACCTCAAACATTTATAATTTTTGCTGTGAGAACAGCAAAGAGATACATTCTGGTTGAACTTGCTACAGAATAGTAACAACTGATGTGCTTCTGCTAGTCTTTTTTTTTTTTTTTTTTTTTGAGACAGAGTCTCACTCTGTTGCCTAGGCTGGAGTGCAGTGGCACGATCTCAGCTCACTGCAACCTCTGCCTCCTGGGTTCAAGCAATTCTCCTGCCTCAGCCTCCTGAGTAGCTGGGATTACAGGTGCCAGCCACCATGCCTGGTTAATTTATATTTTTGTAGAGACAGGGTTTCATCAAGTTGGACAGGCTGGTCTTGAACTCCTGACCTCATGATCCACCTGCCTTGGCCTCCCAAAGTGCTGGGATTACAGGCGTGAGCCACTATGCCTGGCCAACTTCTGCTAGTCTTTTTGCAGTTTGCCTATTTAGTTATCTATGATCTCCTCTACTTGCATAACTTACCATGAACTAACTTAAGAGCATTCTATGTCAACTAACCTTAGTAACTTTCCCTTGTCTGATGCGTTAAATTTCCTTTCCAATCAATGTGATTGACTCAACATCACACGGTTCAGCAGTTACTAAAATGCACCAAAGAGTTACTACAAGACTGTAATTTAAACCCAGGCAGGCAATTTCAAAAAGCTGTACCTGGTAGCTTTTCTGCAAAGTGGTTGTGACCCAGATGTTCTATCTATGTGAAGGCAGCTCAACAATATTTCTATGAAAAAGGCATTAGCGAACAACCTGACACGTTATCTCAAGAGATACACTATCATTCTACTGTTATACTGGGTACACTTTTGCATTGTCAATAGCTCCCATGATTAAAAGAGAGAATTAATGACAGACATCTTGATTCATACTTTATTTCAATCATCTCACTTGATCCTTCAAACCCTATGGTATTATGTATTTTTTCATTGTAGAAATTAATGCTCAGAAATAAATAGCGCACTACAAAATGCCATAATTGAAACCCAAGCTTGCCAGCGTCTAAAGCCCATTCTTCTACCATGATACCATGGTGCTTTTTTCAAGCGATATGGCTTTTCCCTCTCCTCTAATGACTTTTTTATTCACCTCTCCACCTTGGCTTTATGGCGTGCGCGCACTCACACACATACACACACACACACACACACACACAGAGCTTAGGTTAGCTCATCATTATTTCTTTAGTACCTGTTATTTGATTTTTTGCCAACCAGGCACCAGACTTAATTTTTTATATTGCATATAGTTTGCTAAATAAGGGACATGTAGTAATAAAATAATATCCCAGAGGACATTTTCACATTTTACTTGCTGTTTCTCTTTCAAAATTTCCAACTTTAGAAGAGGCAAACAGCCATAGGCTCTGGATATAATAGCTTCAGCTGCAAATAAAAAAATTGTCTTTCTGGATGGAAGGTGTGAAAAGGACTATTATTGCATCAGTCTCTCAGCTACTCTCCCACAGAACATTGCGGTCTGTTCAAACGAATGAGGACAGTAGTGAATAAACCAGTCTTTTAAACTTGTGTAAGATTTTCCATACCTGGGTTTCAGATCATTTTAGAGGCAAGTATTAATTTATTCTTTTTTCTCCTAATTTTTCATATGGACAAATTTAGGCACAGAGGAGATAATGAACTTGGCAGAGAATCAGGAGCAAAACATTGATGGAAAATGATGCTGATTTAAATGTTTCCTGCTTGCATTTCTCATAATGAAAGCACAGCCATATTGTGACACTTGTTATTTTATGGTTCACTGAAGAGCCGCAATAACAAATTTTAAATACCTATCAAATGTCATAAAATGTCATTTAATATTGTTCTTCGTTTGTTAAAGGGAAAATGAAAACTGATAAAGTTCATGTATATTTTGTGCTAGTTCAATAAACTAAATACCATACTCTAAGACTTTCAGCAAACATACAGTCAATTGTAATATGGTAATATTAAATAAGAGGGTACTACACTTTTTCAAGAGAAAGTGGTCTTATTAAAAAGGTTATTTTAATGATGCTCTAAACAATTTCTTTGGCTGCATCACAGCATAGGTTCAGTTCATAATAAAAGTTGCCTTTGAACGAAGTATTCTAAATTTTTACAAGACTCCAATTCTCCTGTGCAATTACGGAATTTGAAATGTAATTCTCCTGGAACCATAAAAGAATTAAGACCAGAGAACTGCTGTTAAGAATAAAGCAAGATAAAAAGGAATTGCTTCAAAGACCCTTTTTATTCTTCTATTTTTTAGTGCCACGTTATATTCCAAGTCACTATGTTGTTATGGAAAAGGACAATGAGAAAATCCACTCTAGACAATTGAACATTTCTAGAATGTTGACTCAGGGCTATTTTTCTCTTGATAATTATGTATTAATTCAATATGGACATCTGTATGTGAAATCCTCAAAGAATTTCCAGAAGAATGGATGATATATCAATGCACAACTGTTTGGCATTGGCTTATTGTGGACTCAGCACTGTGTTAGGCACAATGGCTCAGGCAAATTGTTTGGGAACATGGCCCCTGCTCTAGATCTGCATGGCATTTGTTTATCATTTGAACTGAGATGTGGTTATTACAACTTAACTTCTATCTCTATTTCACATTCCATTAATCATCAAGTACTATAGATTCTATCACCTTCATAATCTTTCAAATCTGCCCATTTTACTACATGTGCAATACCACTGTTAATGATGATCACAATAAGCTCCTAACCATCCTCTTTGTCTTCAATCCTATCCACTTTAATTCATTCTGAACAACAGTTTGGAAATAAAATTGTGAGTGTATCACCCCTCCATTTTAAACTGTTCCAGAGTATTTTCATTTAACTCCTGCCACAGTTTAAGCCCATCAGCATAACCAGGCAAGGTCCTCCGTAAGCTGACCCTTCTTAAACTTCTAGCTTAGAATTTTTACTCCTTCTGCAAATATTTCATCCAAATTAAATATCATGTAGTTTCCTAAGAGAGATTCTTCTCTCTTCTTCTCCCAAGTCCTTTTTTATTTCCTCCTTTTAGAGCGTACTTCCTCTCACCTTTCACCTGACTCATGTTACCAGTCTGTTGAGACTTAGTTCAGAAATCACATCTTTCATTTTGTCTTTCCCCACCCTCTCCTCTCCTATGAATTAAGTCTTGCTTCTATGTAAACAATTAGCTTAGATATTTATAACTGATGCTGTACTTATATGGTTCTGTTGTCTTCCATGAACATGTGTTAGATCTTTGAAGACAAATATATGTTATTCATCTTATGAAATTTGTCCTACACAGAATTTGGCACATGGTTATCCATTCAAATGTTTGTGGAATAAATATGAATAAACTCAAAATAAAGAGAACATATATTAATTTTGTCCTAATTTGCAAAATTCTCCATTTTATTTCCCTCACTGCAAACTATCCCCACTGACAGAATTGGTATCTGATTTCATAGTGTTGATTTCTAACATTTTTAAACAAAAAACTATGTTTCAATTATAAATCATGTATTTAGGTAAGAATCCTTGCTTCATCAACTATAAGAACATAAATTCTAAGACATTTTCTCTACTGAGATGTTAAAATGTAGGGAGAAATGTGTGTTTTATAATTAACGAAATAAAATTCCTTAAGGTCTTACCATATGCTTGGCCCCATGCTGTGTTTTATATTAATTAGTTCTCTTAATCTTCACCACAGTCCTATGAGGAGGGTATTTTTATTATTCTCATTCTAAAAGTTAATAAAATAAGTTCAAAAGAAAGGTAATTTTCCCAAAGTTACCCAGATTATAAGTGGCAATTGTAGGATTTATCTCTATCTTACTCTACTGTCTGAAACATTCTCGATATTCCTTTTTTGGGTTCAGTACTAAGAAAAAACTATAGAAAATAACATTACTGGTCCTCATTTTAGAATATTCTTTCCTTGGGTTCATCATACACACACGTGCACACATAAACACAAACATACACAGTAATTGTAAAAAGTGTGGTAATTTCTTTAAATTTTGTTAAAATACCTCCCGAGAAAAATGGAGACAAGTAGGGGAGAGAATCTCAGAGCTTGAAGACTATCTTTCTGAAATAAAACAGGCAGGAAACAATAGAGATAAAAGAATAAAAAAGACTAAACAAAATCTCCAAGAAATATGGGATTATGTAAAGAGACAGAACCTACGACTGATTGGGGTACCTCAAAGAGATGGGGAGAATGGAATCGAGTTGGAAAACATACTTTAGGATATCATCCAGGAGAACTTCCCCAACCTAGCAAGACAGGCCAACATTTAAATTCAAGAAATTCAGAGAACTCCAGTAGGACACTCCATGAGAAGATCAATCCCAGGACACATAATGATCAGATTCTCCAAGGTTGAAATGAAAGAAAGAATGTTAAGGGCAGCCAGAGAGAAAGTCCAGGTCACCTACAAAGGGAAAGCCATAAGAGTAACAGTGGACCTCTCAGTGGAAACCCTCCAAGCCAGAAGAGATTGGGGGCCAATATTCAACATTCTTGAAGAAAATAATTTCCAGCCTAGAGCTTCATATCTGGTCAAACTAAGCTTCCTAAGCTAAAGAGAAATAAGATCCTTTACAAACAAGCAAATCCTGAGGGAATTTGTCACCCTCAGGCCTGCCTTGTAAGAGCTCCTGAAAGAAGCACTGAAAATTGAAAGAAAAAATTGTTACCAGCCACTACAAAAACACACTGAAATACACAGACCAGGGACACTATGAAGCAACCACATGCACAATTCTGCAAAATGACCAGCTAGCATCATGATGACAGGATCAAATTCACACATAACAATACTAACTTTAAATGTAAATGGGCTTAATGCCTCAATTAAAAGACACAGAAAGGCAAGCTGGATAAAAGGCCAAGACCCATCACTATGCTGCCTTGAAAAGAGCCATCTGACGTGCAAATACACACATAGGCTCAAAATAAAGGGAAGGAGGAAAATTTACCAAGCAAATAGAAATCAAAGAAGGGGTTGCAATCCTAGTTTCTGACAAAACAGACTTTAAACCAAAAAGATCAGAAAAGACAAGGGCATTACATAATGGTGAAGGGTTCAATTAAGCAAAAAGAGCTAACTCTATTAATCTACATATGCACCCAACATAGGAGCACCCAGATTCATAAAGCAAAGAGTCACAAAGAGACTTAGACTCCCACACAATAATAGTGGAAGACTTTAATACCTCACTGACAATATTAGACAGATCATTGAGACAGAATACTAACAAAGATATTCAGGACCTGAACTCAGCTCTGGATCAAGCAGACCTGATAGATACCTACAGAGCTCTCCAGCTCAAAACAACAGAGTATACATTCTTTTCATCACCACGTGGCACCTTAAAATTGATCATGTAATCAGAAGTAAAACACTCCTCAGCAAATGCAAAAGAATTAAAATCATAACAAACAGTCTCTTAGACGGCAGCACAACCAAATTAGAACTCAAGATTGAGAAATTCACTCAAAGCCACACCATCAAATGGAAATTGAACAACCTGCTCCTGAATGACTCCTAGAAAAATAACGAAATTAAGGCAGAAGTCAAGAAATTCTTTGAAACCAATGAGAACAAAGAGACAATGTACCAGAATCTCTGGGACACAACTACAGCAGTGTTAAGAGCGAAATTTATAGCACTAAATGCCCACATCAGAAAGTGGGAAAGATCTAAAACTGACATTCTAACATCACAATTAAAAGAGCTGGAAAGGCAAGAACAAACAAATTCAAAAGCTAACAGAAAAAAAGAACTAAGATCAGAGCAGAACTGAAGGAGATGCAGAAATAAAAACTCTCCAAAAAATCAATGAATCCAGGAGCTCGTGTTTTGAAAAAAATACACAATCAATAGACCACTAGCTAGACTAATAAAGAAGAAATGAGGGAAGAATCAAATAGACACACAAAAAAATGATTAACTCCACCGAAATACAAACTACCATCAGAGAATACTATAAACACCTCTATGCACATAAACTAGAAAATCTAGAAGAAATGAACAAATTCCTGGACACACACACCTTCCCAAGACTAATTCAGGAAGAAGTTGAATTCCAGAATCGACCAATAACAAGTTCTGAAATTGAGGCAGTAATTAATAGCCTACTGATCAAAAAAAGCCCAAGACCAGGTGGATTCTAGGACGCAAGGCTGGTTCAACATTTGCAAATCAATAAACACAATACATCACATAACCAAAACCAAAGACAAAAACCACATGATTATCTCAATAGATGCAGAAAAGGCCTTTGATAAAATTCAACATCCCTTCATGTTAAAAACTCTCAAACTAGGTATTGGTGAAACACCGCAAAATAATAAGAGCTATTTATGACAAACCCATAGCCAATATATTGAATAGACAGAAATGGTACGATGGACATAATACTATTGCACCCCTACTAGACTACAGTGTAGTATAAACATAAACTTTAGATGCACTGGGAAACCAAACACTTCCGTCTGACTTGCTTTATTGCAGTGGCCTGGAACTGAATCCACGATATCTGAGGTATACCACTATTTGAACTGAATAAAATTGGTAGCTTTCACTTTGTTTTTACTTCTTCAGCAATCATAACAAATTTTGGTGTATTTAAAGTACAGCAAGGTAATTATTATCTTCAAAGAGCCCCTAAATTAGTAGAGAAGAGAATACCTATAAAAATGTAAAAACAATGCTGGTAAATAATGACAAATGGCATAATAAGGGAATAGATCCAATGGTTAAGAATTGCACAAAAATAAAAATCACTCTATTTAGAATTGGAAAAAGCACCAGGAATGGTATCTTATTTTAACAAAATTTGTAAAACTCAAAAGGCTGACATAAGTGATGGGCTCTGGTTATATGAACAGGCTGAGCAAGAGTGGAGTGTAGAAATTTCCCAGAGAACTGAGAAATACTTTTATGACTTGTATGTCAGAGAGTACACAGCAAACATAGCGCAATGTTAAGACTATAGATCTGGAGTGGTTTCTAGCCTCCACTCCTGGTTATTTCCTACTGATTAGCTGTGGGGCATTAATGAAGTCACTTAACATCCCTGAACTGGAGTTTTCTCATAGATGGAATGGGACTAGTGATACAACTGATTTACAACTATTGAGATAGAATTTTTTGTTAGTGGAAGAAAGAGATGGATAGATAAAAAGATGAGATAAGTCTGGGGAAAGAAATCAGGTCTTTTAGAGATGTACATTAGGGATTTAGAACTTCTTGCCATAGGGCATGTAAAATTTAACTTGGATTACATGAACTGGTTAATGCACATGATACAATTATTTAAATTAATTAAATTCAGAAAAATTATTAACTTTTGCTTACTAGATTACCTATGACAATGAACTTTCTGACATTGAAAACGCAAAGATAAGTAATAGCTACAATGTATTTTCAGGTCCCTATATAGTTGATATTTTATTAGATTCTACATGCTACTAGAACATTCAAATAGATACAGTTAAGATAGAGCAATGAGAATAAAACATTTCAAAATCTAATTTCCCTTAACATATTAATTTAACGTGATGTTAAAATATTTTATATAATCAATATCATATAACAAATTTTATAATAAAATATTCTTCGTTATGACAAAACTATTTTTCCTTGACTGGATTTACAAATGGTTGAGAGCAGTTATTTGCCTTTGACTCTTGTGGAGACCACAATCTGCTGGTTTACATTATTTATTTGTTTAGAGACTCATTTCCCTAATTAACTGAACAGAGGCAAACTTCACAGGTTCCAGAAATTAATGATATTTTATTGGCCTAGTAGTCCAGATAAAAAGGGAATTTCTGACAGGATGATTTAGATAATTGTCTCAATTTGCTTCATAGCTTTCTACTTATTGATACATCATTAGAGTTTACCTCGTGTATTCTCACAGGCACAGGTAATCAGTTGAATATATCTATAGGTGATTCAGCCTGTGTTAAGTGCCTCCTCAGTAAAGTATGTGCACATGATTGCATTGTTGAAGGTACATTACCAATAAAGATACCATGAAATTGCAAATCAATTCATAGATTTGTTAAAAACACTGAAACTTTTTCTTAAGAAAAATAGCTTTTTCTGTGTTTTAATTTTTTTCTCAATGATAATGTCAGCGTTAAAAAGATACACTCAGGTGCCTCGATGCTTCCTCTCTGTAAGTTGTATCTTGGTAAGTATTCAGAACAAAAAATAAGCATACAGATTTCTTAAACTTCGTTTTGGTAAAAGCTAACACACAAATACACACACACTAGCCTAGGCCTACACTGGGTCAGGATCATCAACATCAGTCTTCCATCTCCACATCTCGTCCCACTGGAAGGTCTTCCGAAGCAATACCACACATGGAGCTGTCATCTCCCATGGTAACAATGCCTTCTTCTGAAACAGCTCCTGAAGGACCTGCCTCAGGCTATTTTAGTTAACTTTTTTGTTTGTAAGTAGAAGGAATGCATTCTAAAATAATGTCAAAAATCATAGTATACTAAACACATAAACCAGTAACATAGTTGTTCATTATCAACTTTTATGTACTATGTATACTTAAATGTGCTATACTTTTTTTTTTTTTTTGAGACAGAGTCTCGCTCTGTCGCCAAGTCTCGAGTGCAGTGGCGCGATCTCGGCTCACTGCAAGCTCCACCTTCCGGGTTCACCCCATTCTCCTGCCTCAGCCTCCCGAGTAGCTGGGACTACAGGGGCCTGCCACCACCCCTAGCTAATTTTTTCTATTTTTAGTAGAAACGGGGTTTCACCGTGTTAGCCAGGATGGTGTCGATCTCCTGACCTCGTGATCTGCCCGCCTTGGCCCCCCGAAGTGCTGGGATTACAGGTGTGAATCACCACGCCTGGCCTATATGCGCTATACTTTCATAGAACCAGGAGCTCAGTAGGTTTGTTTACGCCATCATCACTACAAACACGTGAGTATTGCGTTGTATTACAAGGTTAAGACGGCTATGCTGTCAGTAGACAATGAGGATTTTTCAGTTTCATTATAATTTTATAGAACTACCCTGATACATGCAGGCCATCACTGGTGAAACCTTGTTATGCAGTGCATGACTGTATTATATTGGAAGAAAGAGTGAGATAATATGCTGACACTCACACCGGGCTCATGCGCCAGTAGGAGGAGGTCGCCCTCCAGAGACTGCAGGAGAAGGGGGAGAACTCCTCCTTGCCCTGGCTGTTCCTCCACCACTTCCACCGAGGCCTGTGGTACAGCACCCGAAGCTTCCTACCCACCCTAGGCCTGGCCGGGCAGGCCCCGCAGCTCTCCTACTCCCTCTTCCCGGCCCCTGGACTTGCGGCTGCTGCCACAACTAGCGCAGATGTCACTATAACCATCGCTGCTGTTGCCCTCAATGCACTGGCCCACCCTACAAAGCTCCTACTACCTGGCCACCGCCGCAGCCCTGCCCCTGCCATGGCCACAGCTGGCCGTCCTCCTACCGCTCTGGTGCGAGGTAGTCTCGGTAGCTGCCACCAACCGCAGCAAGGCGAGCAGCAGCCCCAGGCTATCTGCAAGCTTCCAGCATGTAACTCCTCCTCCTCCTGGCATGGAACAGCTGGACACACACAGCCAAAAAAGCCTAGAGGAGAATGCAGAGACTGATAGCGTTAGAGCCTCACCTTGTCATCCTGGCCACTGGGTGGCAGGGGCCAGTCTCAGTGAAGGCACTCATATCCACCCTCCAAAGTCCAGCCTCTCCTTTTGGCTCAAGCGGGCCAGGAACTGGGACCTGGAGTGGTGACTGGTAACATCACACTGCCTGGCTCCAATCCACAGGAACCGCTGGGCCCACCAGGACTGCGCTCCTTGGGGAACAAAATCAGCAGGAACTCAGACACAGCCAGCCCTCCCACCCAAATGCCGGTTCCCCATCCCAATGCCTCCACCCACAGAGCCCTGTCTCCCCGTGGTGTCCCCGCCACTCCGTGTCCAGCGTGCCTAGGGGTGCCAGGTGGTCTCCGCAACACAGAGCGAAAAGGGCATGGCCCCGGGAACCCCGGCGGGTAAGGGGTCCTTGCCGTGCTCAGGATTACTGCGGAAACGCCGTGCGCTCGCTGCGCTCTAGCAGGAGCAGGAGGAGATCGCCTTTTAGAGTCTGAAATCCAGAAAGAGGAAGAAGGCTCCTTCCTTGGAGACCCTGTTGCTGCAAGCTCTGCCGCCACCAGCAAGGCAGCCCCTGATGGCGCCCCTAATCCGCTGCCTGATGTTGGCTCTGGGATAGCGCCCCCAACACCGCCCCTCGCCGCTGCAATGTAAAACCCAATAGCGCCCCCAACCCATCCCTGCCTCGGACGTCGCAGCACCAGATAACTCCCCCATCCTACCGTCTGCCGTCGGCCATGCAGCCACCGATAGGACCTCCAACTAACCCCCGGCTGCGGGCAGTGATGCCCCGGAGAGCACGGCCACCTGCTCCATGCCGTCAATAGTGCAGCCATGGATCCTTAAGGTCCCCAACCCCCTCCCCACGACGAGCAGTGCAGCCCTACATAGCAGATAGCACCCCCAACTGTCCCCCACCCAGGGGGAATGATGCCCTGGATAGTGCACCCCACCCGCACCCCGCCATGGGCAGTGCAGCCTCCGACAGCACCCCTAACCTGTATACCGCTGCCAAAAATATGGTCCCCGATAGCACACCAACCCAGCCCCCACCACAAACAGTGCAGCAGCTGATAGAGCACCTAACTCGCCCCACCGCCACTGACCACAGTGCAGCCCCCGAACGGTGCCCACAACCCACCCCACCACCCCGCCTGCCACCGGCCGGGTATCACCCCCAAACCGCCCCTTGCTGTGAGGAGTGTATCCCCTAGTAGCGCACCCAAACCTGCCCTCTATCATGGGCAGTCTGGCCCGATAGCGCCCGAAACCGCACCCTCCAAGCACCTACCCGCACCCACCGCTGCCCCGCCCCACCACCAGCAGTGTAGCACCTGATACTGCCTCTAACCTCTCCCCTGCCATGGACATTGCAACCCCACATAGCGCCCCCAACAAGCCCCCACCATGGGCAGTGCAGCCCCAGATAGCATCCCCACCCCGCTGTCGGCAATGAAGCCCGACCAGTAAGCACCCCCACCAGTCCGCACCCTAACCAGCCCTCCCACCACCATGCCGCCGGCAGTGCAACCACAATAGCAGCCCCAACCCGGCCCCTGTCGCGGGCAGTGCAGCACCCAATAGCGCCCCCAACCAGCCCTACTGCTGCCATCAATACAGCCCAAGATAGTGACCCCAACCCGCCCCCCACCAACCCCCCCCCCACCCGCTGCTGAGGGCAGTGCAGCCCCGGATAGCACACCTAAAAGCAGTGACGCCCAAAATAACACTCTAGTACACCCAAAGTAGTGACACCTGGAATAATACCCCAACCAGCCCCCGCCGCGGGCAGCCCTGGATAGCTTACCTACCCCATTGCCTTTCTACACTCTGGCCAGCTGCAGTATCCGTCGCTGCCACCAACCACAGCGAGGCCAGCCAGGGAGGCGAGCCAGCGAGGCCAGCCGCAGTCCTGCAGGCTCTAGCCTCCAGCCTATGGTAGGTGCTTTCTCCTTCTTTCCTTCCTGTAGCCAAGCACGGAGCAGCTGTCACTGCCAGCTGCCTCTCTCCATTGCCACCACACACCATTCAAGGCTCCAGGGCTCCAGGTTCCAGGCTCCAGCCTGCGGCAGCACAATCTGCTGCCGCTTTCTCCAAACTCTGCGGCAGAAGTACAGGTTAACACACGATAGCCTGCAACAGCGCGACGCCCCCTTAGCATACCTTATATACTGGGGGGTTGTGCAGGCCTGGTTCTCGGACTTCACGTTCTGATTGGATGAGAGAAACATCTACGCCTACTCTGATTGGACGTTATTTTCATGTTCTGATTGGATCAGAACAAGTCTTAGGCTAACCAATCAGAACGTGACAATAAAGTCCAATCAGAGTAGGCCTAGTGTTTTCCTCTCATCCAATCAGAACATGTAGTTTATAATCTCGGTATATAAAGCATGTTAAGAGCTAGAGTTGCACTATTCCAGCCTCGTCGGCATCTGACTTCATAGCTGCTCCATTGCCAGCTTGGAGTAGGAGGTGCCAGCCACTGCATGCTGGAGGCTGCAGCCTACCGGGCTGTGGCTGGCCTCCCTGGCTCACCACCTCGCCGGCTTGCCTCGCCTTGCCTCGCTGGCTTGCCTTGCCCGCTGCGGTTGGTGGCAGCGATGGACACTGCAACCGGCCAGAGTGTAGAAAAGCGTCGGGGTAAGTGCGCTATCCAGGGCTGCACTGCCCTTGGCCTGGGACGGGTTGGGGGCCCTATCTCAGGCGTCACTGCCCACCTTGGGTGGCTGGTTAGGTGTGCTATCTGGGGCTGTGCTGCCTGCACCCGGGGGTGGTTTGGGGGCCCTAACCGGGGCTGCACTGCCCCCGGCGGGGAGCCTGTTGGGGAAACTATCCCAGACTGTATTGCTGGCAACAGTGAGGTGGGCTAAGTGTCCTATCCAGGGCTGCACTGCACGGCTGTTGCGGGGGGGTGGTGGTTTCAGGTTGAGGGTGCTATGGGGTGCTGCAATGCCCGTGGTTCGGGGAGGCGGGGCGGTTTGGGTGTGTTGGGTGCGCTATTGCGGGGGGGCTACACTGCTGGTTGCAAGGGGGCAGGGTGGGTTGGGGGCCATATCAGGGGCTGCACTGATTGCTTTAGCTAGGGTTTCCAGTACTATGTTAAATAACAGTGGTGACAGTGGGCATCCTTATCATGTTCCAGATCTTAGAGGAAAAGCTTTCCATTTTTCCCCATTCCATATGATTCTAGCTGTGGGGGTCTCTCATGTGGTTTTTATTGTGTTGCAGTATGTTTCTTCTGTACCCGTTTTTTGAGGATTTGTAGCATGTTCCCCAAATTGAATATACCATTTTTTAAAAAGAGACTGAGTCTTGCTGTTATGTTGCCCAGGCTGGTCTCAAACTTCTGGACTTACGCGATCCTCTTCTGCCTCAGCCTTCAGATAGCTGCAGCTATAAGCATGCACCACCGCACCCAGCTTGAAGGTACTGTATTTTTAATTCCATATTGTCAAGCGTTTAAGATACTTTTCTTTAAAAAATTAATATTAATTCAAAGGAAGAAATTGGCAGAGTGAAAAGACAACCTACAGAATGGGAGAAAATATTTGCAAAGTATGTATCCAGCAGAGGATTAATATCCAGAATATACAAGGAACTCTTGACATCTCAATAGCAAAAAAAAAAAAAAAAAAAGAATCCAACTGAAAAATGGGCAAATGACCTGAATAGATATTTCTTAAAAGATGACAGACACATGACCAACAAATATGTTTTCCTAAAAAGCTCAACATCACTAGTCATCAGGGAAATGCAAATCAAAACCACAATGAGGTGTCATCTCACCCCACTTAGAATGGCTACTATCAAAAAGACAAAAAATAGCAAATGCTGGCAAAGATGTGGAGAAAAGTGAACACTTAAATGGGGCTAGTGGAAATGTAAACTAGTACAGCCACCATGGAGAACAGTGTGGAGGTTCCTCAAAAAACTGCAAATAGAACTATTATATGGTCCAACAATATATTATTGGACATTTATCCAAAGAAAAGGAAATCAGTATATTGACGAGACATCGGCACCCCCGTGTTTATTGCAGCACTATTCACAATAGCCAAGATATGGAATCATCCTAAGTATCTAACAACAGATGAATGCATAAAGAAAATATGGTATACATACACAATGGAATACTATTTAGCCATAAGCAAGAATGAAATCCTGTAGTTTGAGGCACATGGATTGAACTGGAGGACATCATATTAAGTGAAGTAAGCCAGGGACAGAACATTAAGTACTGTGTGTTCTCATTCATTTGTGGAAGCTAAAAAAACGTTGATCTCATAGAGGTAAAAAGTAGAACAGAATACTACAGGCTGGGAAGCATAGGGTGCAGGGATGGTAGAAAGCAATTTGTTAAAGGTTTCAAAATTACAGCTAGATAGGAAGAGCAAGTTCTAGTGTTGTATAGCACTGTAAGATGACTGTAATTAACAACAATATGTTACACAGTTTCAAAGAGTTAGGAGGAGGATGTTGAATGTTCCCAGCACAAAGAAATGATAAATGAGATTATGGATATGCTAATTACCTCGATTTGATCTCTGCAAATCTATGGGAATGTTACTATGTTATTCATAAATACTAATAAATACATCAAAAATTTTAAAATTAATAATGAACAAAAGATAAGGGGCCCTGAACTCTAGCTTTAGGGCTGAATTGTATCCAGTCAGATGGTTTATATGTTATTTAAACTTTCACTTTAAATTTGGAGTGGAAATATGTTTGGAAATCCTTACTTTTAGTATGTTGATTTGTGTGTGTGCGTGAGGTAAATTTGGTTGGCTATTGGCAAATGTACTGGGTAGCTACTTAATGAAACATTTCCTTCCAGTGTTTCAGCTTTCTGATTCTTAGAACATGTGTATATTTAACATAATATGCATTATCACTTTTGAAAGTAGTTATTCTAACACTTATTTGTGCTAAATTAGAATATGAATTTGGGAACTATTACTCTTTTCTATGGTCTGGAATAATTTAAGTAATAGAAATTATCTGATTAGATAGAAATTCATTGTAAAATCATCAAGTTTAGAAGCTCTTAAGATTTCCTTTGACTTTTGCTTTTAGTTTTAAAGAAAAAAATAAATTGACATAATGGAAATTTTCACTATACATCAGGAAGGGAATTCAGTGGAAAAGTAAGCTTCCTACTCCCTCTTGACCTTCAATTTATACTTTTCTTCCTAAGTCAAGTACTGCTACTGGTTTCTTATGCTGTTTCTAGAACTAGCTTATCTATTGTCTACTTAAAATAACTCTTTAATCCTTTTATTTGAGCTGCCTTATGGATCTATGTAGTTTTTCTGTCTCTCTTTAAAATTTTTTATGCGGTAGAATACATATAACATAAAATTTACCATCTTAGCCATTTTTAAGTACACAGTTTAGTAGCACTATCTTTCACATTGTTGTGCAACCAATCTCCAAAACCTTTTCATCGTGCAAAACAAATTCTGTGTCTATTCAACTGCTCTCCATTCTTTCCTACCTGCAACTCCTGCAACCATCCTTCTACTTTCTGTCTCTCTGAATTTCACTATGTCACATAAGTGGAATCATACAGTATTTGTCTTTTTGACATGGGCTTATTTTACTTAGCATAATGTCCTCCAGTTCCATTCATGTTGCCTTGAAAGGCAGGATTTCATTCTTTATGGCTGAAATAGTGTTCATCTTGTTGTAGCATGTCAGGATTTCCTTCCTCTTGAAAGCTGAATGATATCGTATGTATATACCAACATTTTGTTGATCTAAATGTATCTGCCAATGGATTTTTCGGTTGTTTCCACCTTTTGACTATTATAAATAATGCTACTGTGAACATGGGTGTGCCAGTAACTTCAAGGCCCTGCTTTCATTCTTCCGAATATACATCCAGAAGCGGAATTGCTGGATCATATGGTTATTCTATTTTTAATTTTTTGAAGAATTTCTATTATTTTTAAAGTCACTTTTCATGGTTTGTTCTTTCCTACAAAACATGTTTTTCAATTTTATCAGTGCAGAGTTGTATATAATATTTATATATTTTACTTGTACAATTAAAGGCTGTATTTTATTTCTATATTATCATATAATTACCTTCAGTATCTATGTTTGTAACTGTTTCCTCATTTCTTTTTTTCCTCGTTCACGTTTACTATTTTATTGGTCTTTAAAACCTAGGCTTTCTTTTTTTTTTTTTTTTTTTTTTGAGACAGAGTCTTACTCTGTCGCCCAGGCTGGAGTGCAGTGGCGCGATCTCCGCTCACTGCAAGTTCCGCCTCCCAGGTTCACACCATTCTCCTGACTCAGCCTCTCCTGAGTAACTGGGACTACAGGTGCCCGCCACCACGGCCGGCTAATTGTTTTTTTATGTTTTTAGTAGAGACGGGGTTTCACCATGTTAGCCCAGGATGGTCTCGATCTCCCAACCTCGTGATCCGCCCACCTCGGCCTCCCAAAGTGCTAGGATTACAGGCATGAGCCACCATGCCCGGCCTACTTCTTTTTTTGTCATTTCTAATTGACTGGTAAGTACATTATATCATTACTGCAGCAGATTTATGTTACAGTGTTTTACCTGTTTATGTTAGAATCAGTTTATGTTTCTGGAATCTGGAATAGGATAATACCTATTTGATTTGAAATTGGACAGAGAGTAGCTTTATGTTGGTCCAGATAATCTCATTTCTCATTTGGACAAGATATTTGAGGGTTTGAAAAATTCCTGTGATGATTAAAGGAGAAAACTCTTGTGAGTTATTGTATGCTGAGACACACACACACACACACACACACACACACGCAGTTTATTGCATTGTTGGGTTTTATACATAAAATTACCCAAGTTGCAAATATATGTCTTACAACTTTGACTCTCAGGATAGTGCAGCAGGATGAAGCGCAACCGCCCCCGCCCCCCCTTCCCCGATTTGCCAACAAGGGCAGACCAAACTAGAAGTGTGGCGCTGTACATGTTTCTGTGGAACCCTGACAGTGAAGCTGTTCTGGTTGCCATGTCCTGTTTCCGCCACCTCTGTGAGGAAGCAGATACCTGGTGTGGGGTGGATGAAGTGTCAGTGCATCACCTCTTGCCCAACTGTAGCACATTCATGGAGTTTGCCTCTGTCAGCAATGTGATGTCAACAGGTAAATGTGAATAGTGGTTTTTTTACTCAACCTGCCTGAAGCACGTGGCATCTAATTGTGAGAATGTATTTAAGGTTACTACTTTGTAAGTTTACAGGGGAGATTCAAGTAGCTTACTTGAAATCCTTTTCTGAACAAAGAAATGAAACAAAGATGAAAAGAAAAAGCATTTGAAATAGTCTCCCAGTGAGTTTTTAATATGCTATATGTTTTAAAAATAACTGGCAGTATATGTTACTATCAGTTGTGATCATATAATTTACCCCACCTAAGTTGTAGATAGTGAAGTTTTATGCACATTGGCATATGTTTTGAGTAAATTATAGGTGGGAATAGCTATTTTGTGCTGTGGACATTGTAGAGTTTAAGATAAGTACCTTTCCTGTGAGGTTAGTGAAAGGAAGTTTTTGGCTTTATCATTTGAGGCATTTGCTCTGCTCCTCCTACTCTGCCTTTTGGGTAGGGCTTATGAGGTTCTCCATGGGCAGGCAGGGCTCTAAGTGCAGTGACTTGATTGGCTGTTGTATTTGCTTAGGAACAGCAGCACTTCAGAAAGAGTGATGGCACTGCGGAGGCGCACTTAGCATCCCACTGCAGGAAACACTGAGGTGTGCTCTTAGCAAGAGAAACACCCCTCCTAGGCGCCCACCCTCAATTTTGGAAACCTATTGTTACATATGTGTAATCAGGAATAGCTTTTGAAGTAAATCCAAGATATGTGCGTGTTAGAAGTGTAATATCTGAGTACTTATTATACATCAAGTTTGAAACTTGGCCATTGCTGATTGACGTTTAGCTCTAGACTTAAAGTTGCTTTCAAGTGATAATTGCCTTCATTTTAGGCTTGGGAAGATACACATGCAAAATGGGAACAAGCAACAAAACTAATCTTTAACTATCCAAAAGCCAAAATGGATGACAGCCAGGTAAGTCTGTAAAGTTGACTTTTGTCTATTAACTGATCTGCTAAATATATGTCCTTCTCTTTGGTAATCTCTCACGAGTCACTCAGTAAAGTAAGCATATAGTTGTCTGAAGACTGATATTTAGTTGTGGTTTATCTAGACCTGTACTTCGTAATATGGTAGCCACTAGCTACGTGTGACTATTTAAATTTTAACATAATGAAAATTAAATACAATTTAGTTCCTCAATCATATAGTAGCCACATTGCAAGTACCCAGTAGCCACATATGACAGTCTGGACAGCAGAGAGAGAAAATGTTTCCATCATCACAGAAATACTGGGCAGCACTGCTAGAGACTGTTGCAGAGACCTTTTCTTGCTCTTTATCCCTTCATCAGGGTGTTTCACAGAATTTTCAGAAAAGGAGCAACAGAGGTAGAGAAAAAAAACATGGAAACAATTCATTTTGCTATTTTGTTAAGTATTCTAATTAAGGAATGTCTTGGGCAAAAGATTGAACCCATAGATTAAATGAGATTTTAAAATGTGGACAGTTCATTCAACTATTACTATTGACTATATTATCTGTTACTCTGGAAATTGATGAGTTGGTGTTTGTGTGTAATTGATTTGTAATGTTCATATTCCTCCCATTATTAGGCAATTTATATAAACTGGTTATTCCCCCATGTTTTTTTCTGTCATACTTAATTACAATAAGAAAAATGTTATGTTTTTATGAAGCAAAATTGTGTACCTAATAGCTTTATTTGGAGGGGACATGTAGCTTTAGAATGAAAGTTTTTGGGGGGATAACTGTTTAATATACCATACAATTCACCCATTTAAAGTGTCCAATTCAGTGGCTGTTTTTAGTATATTCCCAGAGTTGTGCAACCATTACCACAGTCCGTTTTAGAACAATTTCATCAGTTGAGGAAAAAAACCCCTGTATCCTTTAGCTATTTCTGCCTCTAACACCCTACCCCACCTCCCCGCCACTTTCTTGTCTCTCTTCCCCCGGCTTCTCCAGCCCTAGGCAACCTTGAATCTACTTTCTGTCTCTGCAGATTTGTCTCTGCTGGATCTTTTCTGTAAATGGAATTTTAGAATATGTGGGCTTTTGTGATTAGCTTCTTTCACTTAGCATAACGTTTCCAAGGTTCATCCATGTGAAATCAAAGCTTTTTAAAAGAAATTTGATACTTGGGCGATTATATTAGTGTATGACAAAAATAAATCAGTGGCTCTTTAAAAATGTATATGGTAATTTTTGGGGTTGATTTTAATGTGTTTTTTACATTTTTTGTACTTTTGTCATGGAAGAAATGTTGGATAAAGAGTAATTTGTCAAGTCTCAACTAATGTAGGTTTAATTCATGCTTTGCCCAAAAATTTTGTGTTTAGGCTGCTGAAAGTTTCACATGACCATTGTTAGGAGTCGAATGTCCCATCTGAGTGGAGGAGGACGCGCAGATTTGTCTGACACAGACTCCCTACAGGAATGGATCAACATGACTGGCTTCCTTTGTGCCCTTGGGGGAGTGTGCCTCCAGCAGAGAAGTAATTCTGGCCTGGCAACCTATAGCCCACCCATGGGTCCAGTCAGTGAATGTCAGGGTTCCATGATTTCAGTGATGTCCTCAGAGGGAAACGCAGGTACACCTGTCAGCAAATGTATGGATCAGCTGTTGTCCTTAATGGTGTGTAACCATGAGAAAGTGGGACTTCAAATACGGGCCAATGTTAAGGACCTGGTGGGTCTAGAATTGAGTCCTGCTCTTTATCTGATGCTATTTAACAAACTGAAGAATGCCATCAGCAAGTTTTTTGACTCCCAAGGACAGGTAAAGTGTGCTCTTTTTTATTTTTCACCTTGTTTGAAATAAGGAAGGCTTTTTCTTTCCAATTATTTAAATTAGGTGCTCACAGTTTTTAAAAATTGCCAAAAAATTGCAGAAAGAAGAGTCATCTCAATGTAGGGGTCAGCTTGCTTCTTAGGAACTCTGGTGTGTATGTGTGCCTGAGGGTATACCTGCCTTGTGTATGGGTATGAGTGTCTGCATGTATCTGTATGCTTGTTTGGCTGTGTGCCTGTGGGTGCACTTCTGTGTTTGTGTGTTTAGATCAGTCGGTTGCATCTCTCTAGAGGTCTGTCTTCTGGGCATTGATGGCAAATGATTAATATATTTGTTCTTTCTATAGGTTTTATTGACGGATACCAACACTCAATTTGTAGAGCAAACCATAGCTATAATGAAGAACTTGCTAGATAATCATACTGAAGGCAGCTCTGAACATCTAGGGCAAGCTAGCATTGAACCAATGATGTTATATCTGGTCAGGTAAGCGTTCTACTGAAATGTAGCAGAAACATACTTTAAGAGATCAGAAAAACCTCTTACACATTGATATTGGTAGTAATTGATAAAATAATTTGCCATTCTTTACTGCACACAAACTAGGGTGTGACAGTCAGGTAACCAGAAGGTGTGTATGTTCTCATAAAAATAAATATTGTTTTCAGACTTACATGTAGTTCATTTTATTTGATGACTAAAGTACTTTGAATGCTTTCTCTTTTGTCTATATCTGATAATTTTTTTATCGTCTCTGTGTCTGTATAGGTATGTTCGTGTGCTTGGGAATATGGTCCATGCAATTCAAATAAAAACGAAACTGTGTCAGTTGGTTGAAGTAACGATGGCAAGGAGAGATGACCTCTTATTTTGCCAAGAGATGAAATTTAGGTGAGTTCTCAAAAGAGCAATGTAGGGTCTTGTAAATCTTAATTTGTTGAATGAAGTACAGAAATAGAGTAGATATCTGGTTATTGGTAGGAAGGAAGACATAAAAAGAGAGCAATTTACACGTTTGTGTTTCTCTACGTCTCTCCTCAAATTTCCGTAAGCTTTGTGCCTGTGGCAAGCCTCCCTTTTTCTAAAACTGTGCTGTACTTGAGCTAAGAATTTGATTCTGTTTCCAATTTGATACCATAAATAAGGGCCATGTTGGAGGTTAAATATCCACGTTGCTTGTTCCCTTCTGGCTTTTACGTCTGTGACATCAGTATCTCTTTTATAAAGTCGTCATGTCACCTGGGTTATCTGCCAAATTATTTGCACTGTAAGAAATCTTACACAATTAAAGGTGTGTGTGTGTGTGGCTTCAAAAAAATTGTTGGCTGTTTCTCTTTTCTCCGCCATTCTTTAGGAATAAGATTGTAGAATACCTGACAGTCTGGGTTATGGGAACATCAAACCAAGCAGCAGATGATGATGTAAAATGTATTACAAGGTAAAAAAGAGAATGACCTTCAAGTATTAGTGGGTTTTCCTGTAAGAATTATAATTACTTCATTACAGCTTTATACTTGTATTTTATGTGTATTTAAATTTTTTAGATGTCAAACTTTTGTGGTTGAAATATGTAAAGATACTAATCTTTATTACTACTTTTTTTTGACTGATAGACTTTCTGTAAAAATAAATGTGCGAGAGCGGTATGTTTGGGAAGTTAGTGTTGTCAGTTTATGAAGAATAGTCTACCGTTATTGGGAAATAAGGTACATAAAGCCTCAGATTGCATTTATGTTATGATTAGATAGAAAAAGGTATTATTTGAGGAACTCATTGTGTTGGTCTTTCTAAAAAATAATTGATTTCCTGATTCAGGCACCAGAGACAGAAAAAAAAGGAAGTAATTAAGTGTAATTAAGTCTGCTTTAATGATAAATGCTTATTGACACATATCAGAAAGTGATTAAACACTATGGACTGTATAATAAGCCTTTACATATGTTTCTTTGACCAAGCCTAGCTTTATAATATGGTCGTCTCTCAGTATCTGTCAGGAATTGGTTCCAGGAACCACCCCCCAAACTCCTGCCCACATCTCACTTCCATGAACACTAAAATCCACAGACTGAAGTCCCTGATACAAAATGTCATAGTATTTGCATATAAACTATGCACATCTTCCCATATATTTTAAATTATCATTAGATTACTTATAATATCTAATAAATATAAATCTTATATAAACACAAGTTGTTATACCATATTGTTTAGGGAATAACAACAAAGAAAAATCTTTACATGTTGAGTACAGATGAAACCCTACTTTTTTTTCCCCCAAATAGTTTCAATCCATGGTTGGTTGAATCCGTGGATACAGAACTCGCTGAGACAGAGGGCCAATTGTACATGCTTCTGATTGAAGATAGTCATTTTGCCAAGATTACTTTGTAGAAAGTTACTATTGTCTTCTCCTCATTTGAGATGATTTTGTATTCTAGGATCTGCATATTAATTCAAATTATTTGGGTTGTGCTAATAATTTGTTTAATGAAACAGGTAGTTCCTAAAGTTTATATCTGTTAATAAGAGGTTTATTTGAGAGGAAGTGAAATAACCTGAAAGATTTATGGTCTCTAATTTTTTTTTTTCAGAGATTTGGACCAGGCAAGCATGGAAGCAGTAGTTTCACTTCTAGCTGGTCTCCCTGTGCAGCCTGAGGAAGGAGATGGTGTGGAATTGATGGAAGCCAAAGGGGACACAGTTATTTCTTAAGTAAATTTCAGTCACCAAAAAACACAAAGCAAAAGCAAATAAAGCCCCCCGCCGCCACACACACACACACACACACACACACACACACACTCTCAAAGACAAAACAAAACAAAAACAAAAAAACAAAAAAGAAAACAAAGAAATGTTCCCCATGCAGGACTAGGATTAGGAAAATAACTGTGTTTTATGATTTTTAAAGAAAATAATATGATCCCTGAAATTTTGCTTGTAATAAAACCCAGATTGCTTCACTAAGTCATTTACAAAAGTGACATTGTGTAAGCTGTTTGGACCACTAATTTTATATACTAAACATTAAAAATGACACATTTACCAGGAAACATTGCATCTATTTGATGCTTATGTTATGAAAGGTATGCTAGGCTATATCAGGTATAATCATGCCCAACACAGCATGCTTCATAATGAGTCACCCTGGCTGATTATCCTGAGAGAGGAGAGAAGCAGTTAATCCAGGGCCAGTCACACCGTGCACATGTGATAGTTTTGGAATGTCTGGTTAGCTTTCTAGTTGATACGGCCTTTGCTATGTAAAGGTCAGTCTTTTTATTTCTCAGATACTTCACACTATTTATGAACCTTTTGAGTGACTGCAGTGAAGCTGAAGATGAAAGTGCACAAACAGGTGGCAGGAAACGTGGCATGTCTCGGAGGTTGGCATCACGGAGGCACTGTGCAGTCCTTGCAATGTCAAACTTACTTAGTGCCAGCATAGACGGTGGTCTCATGCACTCCATAGGTGAGATCAAATGAAAGTTTCATATAGAAATACACAGCCTAGAGAACTGGCTTGTAAGATAAGCAAAAATTACTTCAGTAAGGCCATGTTAGTAAATTTGCATCCATTTGTCCACATCAGGTTTAGGGTACTACAAGGATCTCCAGACAGCTACATTTATGGAAGTTCTGATGAAAATCCCTCAACAAGGCACAGAATTTGACACACTTCAGAAACGGTATTGGCTGATGGGTTTGAGCAATTGGTGGAACTGGTCACAGTGATGGGTGATCAAGGAGAGCTCCCTATAGCGATGGCTCTGGCCAGTGTGGTTCCTTGTTCTCAGTGGGTAAGTGCATAGAGTAAGTGGGGAAGAAAAGTGCCTGGCACATAGCAAATCCTTCAGAACATATTTGTTCAATAAATGTTTGTTGAATGAATTGATAAAATTTTAGAGCCAGAAGAAATCTTAGATGTTTAGTTAGGTGACTTTTCAGCTGTAGGGAAGTGGTTGGCACTGCTAGACCTGAATAGTGTCCTATATCATTTCATCCCACTGAAAAATTCCATTTAAACACTGATTAAAAATCACTGATCTACTCCGCTGTCTTCATATATTTGAGAAGGTAATTAAGTTAAACCTAATTTCAGTCAGTTGTTGCAACGCTGGAATTGGAATCCACGATTTGTGCCTGTTTACTACCTCCAGTTTGCTGTTCTTTTCCCCATAATATCTTACACAATTTTTAAAAATGTAAGCACTGTATTTGCATTTGATATTATGATATTGTTTGTTTTAAACACTGAAAACATCATATGGCTATTAGGTCTCTCTCTTAATTTAATGAAAAATTTTCCTCAAATCACATCATTCCTAATACATGTGAAAACGTTGAGAAGGGTGGTGGTTCCTTTCCAGTGTTAAAAGGCTATTTCCTTTTTAGTGTACCAAAAATGGTTTCACTTATAGTAAAGTATAACTAATAAGGTAATCTGTCATTGTAGATTTGTTTCTGCTTAAAGCTGTAGGATATTTGTTACACCTGTACTTAAAGTAAAATTCAAACTCCTTATCCTGTCCTACAAGGCTCCACCTGATTTGGGCCCTGCCTCATCTCTAACATCATCTTATGCCATTTTCCTTCTTGTTCACCAAAGCCACACCAGCTACCTTTCTGTCCCTCCTTGTTAGACTTGTTTCTGCCTTAAGCACCCTTGCTGCTGCTACCACCTGAAATGCTTCTCCTCTGGTATTTTATTTTGGTGAGAACGCCTAGCATGAGATCTACCCTCTAACATATTTTTAAGTGTAGAATACAGTATTGCTATCTGTAGGCAGAATGCTGCACCACAGATCTCTAGAACTTACCTTGTATAACTGAAATTTTATACTGATTGATTAGCAACAGCGCCAAATCATTGAAATCTTCCTAAAGCCTAAAATTACTTCACAAACGTTCAAATGTTTTGAAAATGACTATTGTGAATTATCTTATTAGGATCTACCTATGATTAGCACTGAAAATACTCAGTAATTTTTTAAATAAAGAATCAGTTAAATTCAAGTAGCTTTAATTTGTTGTTGAGTTTTATATTAAATGACTTTGAGAAGGAATTTTCTATTAGGCCAGATCTCACCTATCACATTATTGTAATCCTGGGACCAGGCAAGAATTAGAGAGCTATGGGCCATGATCCTGGCCGTTGTTGTTACTGCTTGAGGATTGAGGCATCTTTTTATGGCTACCCCTATTCTCTATAAATTTCTTCTTGTGATTAAACAGTGATTTACCAGTAGATCATTTTTCTTGAGTGTACCCCAAACTGCTTTACTACAGGGAGTTACAAGGATGTCATTTAGGTAATTGGAATTTCAGCCCTCATCCCTGTCCCCCTTGCTTTGTATGTAAATCTGGCTGATCTCTGGGTTCTGAACGCCCAGTTCCTTTTCTTCCTGATTTCTCAAAAATCCTATAGTCTTTCTGTTTTTGTCATGTCTCTACCTAGTCTATGTTCAGCATTCACTGAGTTCCCCTGACTGTATGAGAAGAGAGTAGAACTCTTCTGATCATCAGTCTTATTTCTGCTCTGTGCAAATGCTTGTACAAATCAAACTAAAGTATTTGCTGTCATCTTCTGTTTCTGTTCTCTTTCATTTTGTGATGTAATTTGAACTGAATCTTGGAGATTTTGTCTCCTGGTAAAGCCTAGGCCTCTCTTAATAGCTTTCACCGGTTAATCCTTGGAATTAACAGCTATCGTAGACATCGTATATAGTCATCTATCATAAACAATATACGCAGATAAATCTCAGGAGAAATATTAATCAGTCACCTTTGCCTTAATTTAGCAAGTAGTTGTCAACTTTGGGTTTATGATTTTGCCACTCTTCAGCTATCTACCTGAGAACAAAAATGCACTAACCTGATTTTGTTTTGTTCTCAGGATGAACTGGCTTGAGTTCTGGTTACTCTATTTGGTTCTTGGCATTTACTCTACCAACTGCTCTGGAACATGTTTTGTAAAGAAGTAGAATTGGCAGACTGACTCCATTCAGACTCTCCTCTGAGACAACAGTTTGGCCAGTAAAATAATGACACTCTGTTTCAAGGTTTGTATCATTCATTTTGTGTGTGTGTGTGCTGAGGTATGTCAAGTAATGATTATGTACAGAATGTGCAGAGCTGATTGTCTTCTTTTAAGGTAAAATGTATGGAGCAGGCATAATGAAGTCCTACTCATGCATTTCTATAGGTATATGGTGCTACCTATCTATAAAAACTCCTGGATGCTTTATTACGAATTGAGATCACATCCTCTGATGGGCAACATGTTAGCTTTGAAGTGGATCCTACCAGTTTTATCATCTTTTCACATAAAAGTGCTCTTTTTTTTTTTTTGCTAACACTGCATGAAGCAAGGCCCTCATAACTTCTCCTCTTGATCATTAAAATTTGTTTTTAATTATAAAAGTTATATACAAATATGCTTTTCTTTAATGATATCTGTAATTTTTTTTAAGTTATCCTTCTTTTTATCTGCCTTAGATCCAGGGACAGACAGGAGAAGGATGTCTTTGACTTCTACCTCCACAGACCGTTACTAGTTAAGCCTCTTTCCTTTTTCCATGACTTTACATATCACTTTACACAGTCACTTGCATGCTCTGTCACCCAGACTGGAGTGCAGTGGCACGATGGCTCACCGCAACCTCCACCTCCTGGGTTCAAGCGATTCTCGTGCCTCAGCCTCCCAAGTAGCTGAGATTACAGGCGTGCACCACCACGTCCAGCTAATTTTTCTATTTTTAGTAGAGATGGAGTTTCACCATGTTTGCCAGGCTGGTCTGGAACTCCTAACCTCAATTGATCCACCAGCCTCAGTCTCCCAGAATGCTGGGATTACAGGCGTGAGCCACCATGCCCAACCAGAGAATTGTCTGTTTTGAGATTAAAATTTGGGAGTTTTAAGAGAACCACTCAGTAGCAGTGATGGTCTATGAATATTCTAAAATTATGTGAAGAAATTTGTGTGAAAGCATACATCCATTTTTCTAACCTTTATCAGATTTCAAAGAGGTTCCTCATCCCCAGAAGGTTGAACACTATACTGGAATAGTCGAAGCACTCAAATTTTTTCTTAATTCTTTATCTTTTTATAGTTTTAGCTAAAACTTCTATATCTAATTCTAAATTTATATATTTCAGCTAAAAATAAATGGTATTTAGGTTTTAAAGCCATTCTAATAAAGCAGCTATATTTAGCCACCTTCACCAGTTTCCCCTTATTGAAGGGTTAAGGTTGTTCTTCATGCAATAAACACTGTAACATAAAGAAAGCTTCCTGAACTGTGTGTAGTGTAACTGAAGGTGGGACTATATTGTTACACCTCACCGCTTACAAATACTTTATTCTCTAACATCTAATTTTTACTAACTTCCTATTAGAGATTACAGAAAGCTATTTTGAGATTATAAGCAGTGATAAGAATGCATTTAAAATGTGGACTTCATGAAGCACTGCGTTGAACAGGATGAAGTGAAATAATCCCGATTCCAGAGTTAATCTGGAGTCAGCCATGTGAATTTAGGACAGGAAATATTAATTTATTGAGGCATTGTGCAAAAAATAGTTAAGTGATATTCTGCATGTAAATCTGGGTCCCCCACACCAATATCCTTTGAAAGGAAGGTTTATCCTCGGAATCACAAAACATTGAGTGGAATGCTACAGTTTTGTAATCACTGCTACTTTAAACAGCAGTTAGCCACACTAAGCAAGAATAGCTGTAGAGATTAAAATGTTACATTGTGTTCTTTAAAAATGAATATATATGGTATATATAAAAATGTAAATTCCAAAATAATATAATTTTCATCTATAACATGATTTAAAGCAGGGGACACTGGGAAGGGATGGGGGCTGAACCCATTTTATGGCACTCTTCCCAGTCTAAGGTACCTTTTACTTTATCTTAATGTAGAATGTTTTATAAAGAGAAAATCAATCCACTTTAAATATTGGGTTCACATTACTTTTCAGGCTGGACAACCATTTCTTGAATTCTTAAATTATTTTTATTTGACAGAATTATACATTGAGGTAGACATAGGGGTTCGCTGTTCTGCTGAGATCCTTTTTTCTTTTAGGTGCCCAAGAATTCCCATCCCTCCATGGTTCAAATAATAGGTAGGTTGTTATAAAGGAAGCTGGCAACAGGCAATAACATTACTTGTAAGTAAGTTTTTTTTTCCTCAATAGGAATCTAAGATTTTGTTTTTTTATAGCAAGCATTTTTTTCTTCAATTCAGTTGTAACTGGTACACAACAAAACATAAATATGTGCTATCAGGTATAGGATGTTTTGGGGGTGTGTTGTTGAAAATTTAGTTTCACCTTATAATGTTGACCACACTTTCATGTCTGTTAATCTTAATAAATTATGATCATCTTTGTGTGAAAATTTGGTCTGTTTTCATGACTCCTCAAACTTGCAGTATAGGTGATGATACAGTGAAGATCTGTTTTCAGGTTTCTTCTACCCATCTCATCCATGAGGTTTTTCTTTCCTCTGAGATACCTAAATTGTACTTTAATATGATACAAGACTAGAATTGAGAGGAAACTTTATTTTCTCATGTTTTGGGAGAAGAAAAAATAGAAATGTGTCATTCATGAGGACTGATTGACTCAGAGTTGTGCAAATTTTGACCTTTGAACTCTTTGTTCCCATGCCCCTATTTTAATTCAAACCTTATACTCAAGTCTCAACTTGTTTTTAGGGGGTTAGCCAACGTTTCCCTCAGAACAGTATCAGTGCAGCAGGAAGTGCCATGTTCCTCAGATTTATGAATCCTGACATTGTCTCACTGTATGAAGCAGGGATTTTAGATAGAAAGCCACCACCTAGAATCGGAAGGGGCTTGAAGTTAATGTCAAAGGTGAATTATTTTGATAATCTAGCTATCTTAAATTCCCCTTCCAACTAAATTTTCAGCTTTTCTTACAGTACTTCCTCTTACATTTATATTGGAAATACCCTACGGTTTTCAGTTATGTGTTTTTATTTTGTTTATATTACAAAAGAATTCATTAGTTAGGTACCTGATGGACCTTATTTTCATGAGAATACGTTTTATTATAGCAGATGTCTTGTGTCATGAGGATCATTTTTTGCGTAATCATTCTAGACATTCTGAAACAGACTACAATGAAGGCTGTAGGATTTTTTATTTTAAGACATTAAACATTTTTAATATGTATTTGTACATGTAAATATAATTATAATTAGGAAGAATAGAAACACTACCTAAAATATAGAATGAGAAATGATTGATTTTAACTACTAGCAGAAATTATATCGAGAAAATTCATATTTTTAAAGAATATATTAATGTATAAACTTCATACAATAAGTAATCTGATTATTTATAACCCTGTTTTATTGTGTAAATACTTCAGAGTATTGCCAATCATGTTCTCTTCACAAAAGAAGAGCATATGCGGCCTTTCAATGATTTTGTGAAAAGCAGCTTTGATGCAGCTTGAAGGTAAGCTACTTGCCACTTATTCACTTGCTCTGTTTGAATCAAATATTTTCAGTTTCACATAAATCCATGTACCTGTTTTACATGAAGTTCCGTGTAGGTTTTTTTCTCTTCCTGCTCTAGGTCAAGACATAGCTTGCCTTATTTTATTTTACTATAAAAGACAGTCTTGAAATAAATTAATATTTTTTATAATTTGGTAGTGATTTTCATATTTGAAAACCAAGAGGCATTTTGGACATGTCTAGTTAAATAAAGGATTTGAGGATGGTACAATATGGGGATAAGGAAGAAATAGGATTCCTTTTATTTAAAACTAAAACCAAATTGGTATTGATAATGCATAAGAATGTTTAATAAGGTTTTTATTGGTATCAGAATATTTGTGATACTTAAATTTGGAAGTGTATCTAAACTAAAATGTTATTCTTTAAACCAAGTAATGCAAACACGTAAGATTTTGTACATGCGTAACTGAACTTTATGATTTTAGAAAACTTTTCTGCTGGATTTCCATAACCAGTTATTTCACTTTATTTCTCTGAGTTATTGGTTTATCTGTAAAGTGGGGATAAACTCTTTGCCTGAGTTGTTTTTAGAGAGAAAAAATGAGATAATTCATAAGAAAGTGCTTTGTAAATTTATGTCTGGAATTCTGCTTTTCATGCAGTGTGAATCTAATTGATCCTTATCATCTAAGCTAGCCTTGTACAACTCTCTCTTCCAGTTTATCATCATTGTAATTGTTACTGACTTTTATTCTTTTAGGAAAATTGGAGTTTAAAAGGTATATTGCTGAATGACAAGCCATGTTGGAAAGAGAGTGAATGTCAGCACAGGATTCATATTCTGGCAGACTGAGGGCCCAAAGAAAGTTAAAAGGAACAAAGTTTTAATACTGGCTTTGACCTAACAGGCTATATATCTTTGGGGAGGTCTTTTGTCTGGACCTTCATTTCCTTATCTGTAAAATACCAGCCTCTTTCCAAAGTTTCATCCATCTCAATTTTGCTGTTCTTTAACTACAGAAGCTGAAGCCAGGTATCAGAAATGGAAAGCCAACTTTCTCCTTGTCCTTTTTACTTTGTCTAATGACAAATCACATTGTGGGAACAAGCCCTCCATATTTGTAATTGTCATCTCAGTTGCTTCACAAAGTTACTTCGTATAAATTTAATTCAAACATAAGTATGGTGTGTCTCTGGTGTTGAAAATTCTAGTGACTTTGCATTTTCTAATGTTTTTTCTTGATATGGCATCTGATTGTCCTACAAGTGATGCAGTAAATCATAGCCTTTCCTTCAGCAGTGACGGCAATGTGCTCGCTTTACATCATCTACTCCGGAACAATCAGGAGAAAATTGGCCAGTGTCTTTCTAGCAACAGGTAAGATTTCCCAGTCATGAGGATAGTGAACATTCTCCATTTTAATTTAGATCAATAAAATTATTGGTCATGAATAGTGCTTTTTAAAAACTTTGCATCTTCTTGGACTAAGAATTATGGTTTAGAAAGAGAAAGTCCTTTTTTTTTTTTTTTTTTTTTTTTCAAAAAAATACAAACAAAAGGTTAAGTCATGTTAAATAATCAACAAACCTATGTAGGTTCCAGTGGTGGTTATTATTATTATTTTCTCAAGTTAAGAAATCACAGATTAGCTCTTTGGGTTTGTATGGCTTGCAAACTGTCATAGACCCAAAGAAGTTCAAATTAGTGTTGGCATTTGAATCTGAAGAACAGCTAATTCATAGGAATTCAGTAATTAAAATATTGTCAGTGTTTCAATTCTATGATAAACTCATTTGTGATACTCTAAGTATATGCAAATAAAGCTTTATATAGAAAATACTGGCCTGGCACTGTGGCTGATGCCTGTAATCTCAGCACTTTGGGTGGCCGAGGTGGGTGGATCACCTGAGGTCAGGAGTTCGAGATCAGCCTAGCCAACATGGTGAAACCCCATCTCTACTAAAAATTCAAAAATTAGCTGTGCATGGTGTCAGGCGCCTGTAATCCCGGCTATTTGGGAGGCTGAGGCAGGAGAATTACTTGAACCTGGGAGGCGGAGGTTGCAGTGAGCCGAGGTTGTGCCATTGCACTCCAGCCTGGGCCATAAGAGCAAAACTCCATCTCAGGGGAAAAAAAAAAAAAAGAAAAAATACTTAAAAATTGAAATTATTAATTTGGGCATTGTTTCATTAGCTCTTATTAGTCTCTTGTGTTAACATAAATTACTTGCTGTCCCATCTAGTTATATAAACTTGTAAAGGGACAAAATTCCTAAGTATGAGGAGTTCCTTACAAAGGAAATTGAGTCCAAATTATTTTTAAATGCCAATAAAAGTGGTTAGCACATTCACAGGAAAAGTAGTGGACTATGAAGCTAAGGGTAAGCAATTGGGAGATGGGAGTTTAAACCACAGAGCATTTTAATCTTTTATGCATTATTAATGGATTGAAGTAGACATGGGCCTGAGGTCTTTTGGGTACTGTTTACAAATCAACAGGGACCACCAGCTGACAGTTAAAGGAAAAGCAACAGTTACAAGTTAAAGAAATGTGTACTGCTAAATGTGAACTGCTACTTTTTTCTAAGTAGTTTGCTATATCTAGGGATCATAAAGCTGTTGGAAGATGACCTTTTGATAAATGGCAACACTTCTTGTATACCTCGGTCCTCCAGAGCACAAACCTGTGGCAGATACATACCGGTCCAGCCTTAACCTTACCAGTTAAAAGTTTGAGGAATTTATGATGAGGTAAAGTACAACCTTGAAATGTAGATTGCTTTCTTTTTGGTTGAGAAGCAGAGTTTACCACTAGGCCACTTGTTAGATATGATAGAAGACTATGAGGAAAGATGCATCTAATAATCACATTGCCATGTTTGGGGACCCAACTTTTCTCCTATTCTATATATTATTTATTTATATATATATATATATATAGAAAGAATATGTTTTATATGTTGATTGCCATAATAGTAGTAACAAATCATATTTTATCATCTCGCTTTCATAAGTTTTCACATTTAATACCTACCAGGGAATGAAGAAAACATTATTTTCAGATGATAGTTAAGGAAAATGCAACTCAGTGTGAATAACTGGCTTGTGTGAGATCCCACACCTGATTCATAGGTCTTTTGGTTTTAAGTGCAGAACTTTTCTACTACACTATAACACTTTTCAGAACCCTCATAAAGATGAATGGTTTTAACTTCTTTTAGATTAAGGCTCAGAAAATATAGTCTACTTCAGTATTGCTATAAAATTTCTGTGGACATTTGTTTTGAATCCCATTTCATGGCATTTAGCTTGTGAACAAAAAGATCTTCATGGTTAGACACTGACTCTATGATGATACAGTGAGAGTAGTTTGCTGAATCTTTTAAAGTACATTTCACAGTAACTTATGCTTAGTAAGGTCTCCATAGTGTCTGTGAGTTGAATGTTGTGTTCACAGTATCTGCCAAAACAGAAAGAAAAAAACAAAATCTGATGATGAGAAGTTAAAGCTTTGTATATCATATGCCTTGAATTGTAAGTGCCTGTTGTTAGTTGTATTACATATAGGTCATGGTTTTGTACACATAACTCCAAACCATTGATACTGTTAAAAGAATATATGAATATATGAAAGAATGTATAAACATAAGAATGTATGGGTATATAATGTACTTTCCAAATTAATTTTTATTTTTAGCTTTGTTAGATTTTTCTTAGTGTAGCAAACGTTTATTCCTATGTAATTAAGGGCATATTTTCTGTACAGAATATTCATATTACCTAATTGAAAATTATATAATACAAAAATATAATACTATTTTTAGGCCAGGCATGGTGGGTCATACCTGTAATCCCAACATTTTGAGAGGCCAAGGTTGGAGAATCACTTGAGACCAGGAGTTCAAGACCAGCCTGGGCAACATGGTGAGACCTTGTCTTAAATAAATAAATAAATAGGTTGGGCACTGTGGCTCATGTCTGTAATCCCAGCATTTTGGGATGCCAAGGCAGGAGGATTGCTTGAGCCAGGAGTTTGAGACCAGCCTGGGCAACATAGCAAGACTCCATCTCTACAAATAATAAGATATTAACCAGGTGTGGTGGTGCGTACCTGTGGTCCCAGCTACCTGGGAGGCTGAGGTGGGAGGTTTGCTCAAGGCTGAAGTGAACTGTGAATGCACCACTGCATTCCAGCCTAGGCTACAGAATGAGACTTGTCTATAAATAAAGAAATAAGTAAAAATATAAACTAAAAGAAGTAAAAAAAATAAGTAAATAGAAATACATATAAAGATGAGTACATCAAAACAAACAATTTTTAAATTTAACATCACTGAGGGCATCCTGGCCATTTTTCTATTTTTCTAGGAAAATGTTTTTATTACTCCTTTTTTTCTAAGATCCTACCTTTCCTTACAAAGCAGTCTTTTGTGCTTTTGAAGATTATGTGATCTAATATATATAGTATACTTAGGACAGTATCTGGTACTTGTAAAGTGTTTAATAAATGTTAGATCTTATTTTTGTTCTAAATTCCCACTGATGCTTTTGGAGACCCATTTTCTGTTTTAAAAAAATGAAGGTAGCTTTATAATAGTCTCAGTTTTTTTTTTGTTTGTTTTTTTTTTTTTTGAGACAGAATCTCGCTCTGCTGCCCAGACTGGAGTGCAGTGGCATGATCTCGGCTCACTGCAAGCTCTGCCTCCTGGGTTCACGCCATTCTCCTGCCTCAGCCTCCCAAGTAGCTGGGACTACAGGCGCTCGCCAGCACGCCTGGCTAATTTTTTGTATTTTTTGTAGAGACAGGGTTTCACCGTTTTAGCCAGGATGGCCTCGATCTCCTGACCTCAGGTGATCCACCGGCCTCAGCCTCCCAAAGTGCTGGGATTACAGGCACGAGCCACCATGCCCAGCCAATATTCTGTTATTTAAAAAAAATTATTGGATTACTCAATATAGAAATCTAAAGAAAGTAAAAAAAAACTTAAAAATTGTTTATCCTCCTGCTCAGAAATAATTCAGTTAACGTATGGTGTATAGTCTCCCAGTCATTTATCTATGCACATGTATATGTTTTTCTCCTATCAAATGATATCTAGGTTGTTTCCATTAATATTTTTAAAATGCTGACCTGGTACCAGCAGCATGATGGGCTGAGTTAATATAGTCTCCTTCCCAAATCACAATACTCATAGATACACTAAGTGTAAAAGAAAACATGTATACTTAAAAAAAATTAGGAAGAGTGCAGTAGCTTACGCCTATAATCCCAGCACTTTGGGAGGCTGAGGCAGGTGGATCACATGAGGTTTGGAGTTTGAGAGAAGCCTGGCCAACATGGCGAAACCCCATCTCTACTAAAAAAAAAATAAAAATAAAAATTAGCCAGGCATGTGACAGGTGCTTGTAATCCCAGCTACTTGGGAGGCTGAGGCAGGAGAATCATTTGAACCTGGGAGGCAGAGGTTGCAGTGAGCTGAGATCGTGCCACTGCACTCCAGCCTGGGCGACAAGAGCAAAACTCCATCTGTTAATTAATTAATTAATTAAGTTTATAGCTGAAGGTAGTTTCTAAGCAAATTACCTAGCATACAGTCATTACAGACAAAGAAATGGAAAATATGAAAGAGATTAAGAGATGCAGAAGATAGAATGAGAAGTTCCAAAATATGTCTAGTAGGTGTTCCCTAGAAATTGAGCTCAGTGAGAATGGGAAGAAGTAATATTTGAAAAGGTAAAGGATGAATGTTTTCTAGAGTTGATGAATGACATTAATCTTGAAGTTAAAGAAGCACACTGAGTCTTGAGCAGACTATATAAAAAGTAAACCAGGCTTTAATACATATGGGAACATAATATATGATAAAAGTGGTATTTGAAATCAAGATTAGGATGGACTTTCAATAAATGGTGTTGATAAAACTGAGTAATGATCTGAAAAAATATTTTCATACCATTTATGAGGATAGACTCCCATAAATCAGAAAGAAAAAAAAACATGGGCAAAGCAAGGCCTTTTTCATCCATTCAAAATCCATAAACTAGAAAGGAAAAGGTTAATAAAATGAATTCGTTAAAAAATCATAAACTTCTGTCTGACACAAAGAAGTCATGAGTAAAAACAATCCTATGGTTAATATCCTCATCCAGTAGTTCTCTTAGAATAGTCCTAAAAGTGCTTTTGTGGTTCAAAGAGTAATATCTTGAGATTTTTTGTGCATGTTGTCAAATTACCCTTTAGAATGCCTGTTGCTTTTAAAATAATTTTTCATTTTAGCATTTTATTGTTTATCCAATTATGGACTGTTTTACATACTCAGTAGACAACACAAAGCCTCACAGTTACCCTGTTCTTTTTCTTTTAGGCATCAGGTATGTGAAAAAGAAGAGATCAAGGCTTTGAAAACATTAAGTATTTTTTACCAAGCTGGGAATTCCAAAGCTGGGAAGCCAATTTTTTATGTTGCAAGGAGGTACGAAATACTATGTTTTGGTGTCTCTTAACAGAATTTTTTAAATGATAGTAAATATAGAGAGATGGCAAGTTTGGTTTTTCCTGTTTGACTTAACAGGAATCGAAGACAAGTTTACCTGGGAGCATATAGTGGGGTAAATAGCCTGCCTTTCCTAAAATGATGGTCAATATCTAATAACTGCTTTTCAGACTACCCATTTCATATTGGTTTCCCTGTCCTACATCATTTTTTTAAGACTGCCTAAAATGGATTAATTACCAACAGTTAAAAAACCACAAAGAATCTTTTGTTTTCAAGTATATTCTGATTAAGTAGTACTCAACAACATGATAACCGGGAACTTTTTTCAATTTTATTTTATTTTATGATTTTATTTTTGAGATGAAGTCTCGCTCTTGTCCCCCAGCCTGGAGTGCAATGGCATGATCTTGGCTCACTGCAACCTCCACCTCCCGGGTTCCAGCAATTCTCCTGCCTCAGCCTCCTGAGCCCTCCCCTGCCAAATCCTTCCCAGCTTCTGGTAATCATCAGTTTATTCTCTGTCTTCATAAGATCCACTTTTTCAGCTCTCACATATGACTAAGAACATGTAATATTTTTCTTTCTGTGCCTGGATTATTTCACTTAATACAATGATCCCCAGTTATGCCTTGTAGCTGCAAATGACAGGATCCCATTCTTTTTTATGGCTGAATAGTATTCCATTGTGTATACATACCACATTTCTTTATGCATTCATCTGTTATGGGCACTTAGGTTGACTCCATATATTGGCTGTTGTGAATAGGGCTGAGATAAACATGGGAGTGCAGATATCTTTTTGATATATTGTTTTTTGTTTCTTTTGGATGTATACCCATCAGTGGGATTGTGGGCATATAGTAACTCTAGTTTTAGTTTTCTGAGGATCCTCCATGCTGATCCCCATCATGGCTCCTTTATGGAGAGTGTGTGAGGGTTCTCCTTTCTCAGTATGTTCACTGGCCTGCTGCCTTAGACATTAAATCAGGTGCTACTGCGGTATTCCGAGTTGTAATTAGTTTTTTATTTTGACATCTATAAATCTTCAGGCAGCCAGACAGCTTGATAAAGTTAAGCCAAATACAGTTTTTCTAGGAGTGGTGAATTAATGGGAGAAGTGGCCAGATCATCCTTGTGTGTAGGTGTGAGCATGTCTGAGTGTGGCGAGGGAAGGTGGTTGGGTAGAGAGTGCTGTGAGGGAGTGAGGTGGGAATCCCCCTAGCTAGGATTGAGTCATTTTTTTCTTCCATGCAAAATGCATATTCCCCATTGTGGATTTCTGAGTGTGTGAGTGATGAAGAAATAGGGCATGTGCCTTGACCCAGTTGCAGCTATTGCCTCCATGTGCCTGAGGTGCCTTCCTCATACTCTAGCATGTTACTGGGCAGACAGTCAGTATTAGCACATGCTGCTGGTCCTTGTGAGCACAGCACGAAGACGAGAAATGGCTGGCAGAATTTTGGCTTGAGGGCCAATAGATGTAATAAATGTAATACAGTTAGTTTTAGAACATAATTCCATGATTTGATTCGGGTCAAATAAATCATTTTAACCAAAATTTCTATTGTGGAAGAAAATCTTTCAAGAATTATGAAATTTGTGTCTCAGAATTGGCTCATTTAAGAAAAATAATACTGTTCAAATGTGCGAAGGCTGTCAAAGGGTTTGTTGTATAGCTTTGCATTGGCTGAGTTTTCAATGTTTAGACATTTGAGTATAAGAAAACTGCTACACTAAAAGTAATAGACATAAAAATAAAAAATAAACAGCTGTGTAATGTTATCAGGCTAGCTAGATGTTATGCATCTGTGATTCTGAGGCTTCTTTGCAGCATTTGGTTCATGGAGGTTCTGGTAAGACCAGCTTGTGAGCGTTGATGTTTCAGAGCAGGTTATTTTCTATGGTGTGAAAGATGCAGTCATTGCCAAGAGTCACAAAAAGTGAGGCTGGGAAGAGGATACACTGAATAAAGTTTTAAGGAAGTTTAAGAAAGCACACACCACATTGCCATTTGCTTTCTTAAAGTTTCAAGGAAAATTTCTAAAAAATACGTTCGTATGGTTTGTAAGGTTCACATGAGATAAGGAAGTAAATAGAGCACTTAGCATAGGAATTGGAAAAAAAATACTTTCAGACATAGAAGACATACAGTTAACAGATTTCAGAGTCAAGCACTGGTTAGATAAAGTCAAATGCTCTCTTTAGATGTGTACTGCAAGGCATTAGCCAGGTGCAGTGGCTCATGCCTGTAATCTCAGCACTTTGGGAGTCCAAGGTGGGTGGGTCACCTGAGGTCAGGAGTTTGAGACCAGCCTGGCAAACATGGTGAAACCCCGTCTGGACTAAAAATACAGAAAATTAGCTGGGCGTGGTGACACACACCTGTACTCCCAGCTACTTGAAAGGTCGAGGCAGGAGAATTGCTTGAACCCAGGAAACGGGGATTGAAGTGAGCTGAGATCACGCCAGTGGACTCCAGCCTGGGTGACAGAGAAAGACGCCGTCTCAAAAAAAAAAAAAAAAAGAAAAAGAAAGACAATATTGGTGTTTTAGATTATAAGAATACAATTTTGATCATAATCATTTACTGTTCTTTGTCACGAAGAACTACTGATCTGTCTTTGTAAACCTGCAAACCTGATCATTGAGAAGTCTGCATCACTATTGATGACAACTTATGGTTCTTCATTAAGTGACCCAGTTCATTTGCTGGAAGATTGGCTGCCTGTTAGCCCAGAAAAAGATCCTTTTTCTAGTGAATATCATTGCAAAGTGAAACAGGAAGAGTGGAAAGGTACAGTCTGTAGGCTAGCATGCGATGCACCATGAAACTCATCATGAAAAGGACATGTGTGTCATTAATCATGGCCACATTGATCACGGCCCCACTCTCTAGGGAAGAAGCCAGTTTTTTCCCTTCCCTGAGAGATACCATAACTGAGCCGCCATCAGTATCTTCAGCCTTCCCTTGGAGGAGGATGAACTCGACCTCGATGGTAAGTGATTGATGGTTGACTTAAGGGAATTTGGCTGGCCAGGAATTTGGCTGGCCAGAGAGATGTCCTTCCTCCCTCACTGCTTCCTCATGGAAATGTTAATGAAGATTAAACAAATTAATATATGAAAGTAATACCTGGAACTTAGTAAATCTCAGTGAATTTTAGTCACTATTACTGCTCCTGTGGACCTCAAGTATCAAGCAATGTGACTACGATCAGTAGTGAACTAGCCTTTCTGTAGGCATATTCCTTTGTTTCTCTTGGCTAAATACCTGGTAGTAGAATGCCTAGTGCATATGGTAAGTGCATGCTCAACTTTTTAATACACTGCCAAGTTGTTTCCCAAAGCAGTTGAACCATTTTCCATTTTCAGCAGTAGTGTATGAGAGTTTCAGTGGCTCTATATCTTGACCAGCTTTGGTATGGTCCATCTTTAATTTTAGCCATTCTGATACATATGCAGTGCTATATCATTATATATATCCTTTTTTGAGACTGAGTCTTGCTCTGTCGCCCAGGCTGGAGTGCTGTGGCGCGATCTTCGTTCACTGCAAGCTCCACCTCCCAGGTTCAAGCGATTCTCCTGCCTCAGCCTCCCAAGTAGCTGGGAGTACAGGCACCTGCCACCATGCTCAGATAATTTTTTGTATTTTTAGTAGACACAGGGTTTCACCATGTTGGCCAGGCTGGTCTCGAACTCCTGAGCTCAGGTGATCCACCCGCCTTGGCCTCCCAAAGTGCTGGGATTATAGGCGTGAGCCACGGCGCCCAATCTAGAGCATCTTTTCTTGTGCTTGCTTCTGTCTGTATGTCTTCTTTGGTGAAGCATCTGTTTAAACCATTGCCTATTTTTTATTAGGGTGATTTATCGTCTTACTATTGAACAGTAAGAGCTCTTGTATATTTTGGTTACAGATCTTTTGTTGGATGTATGTTTTGCAAGTGTTTTCTTCCAGGTGAGCACTGCCACTTCATTTCATTAACAATGATGTTGAAATAGGAAAATGTGTATTTTGGGGGAGTCAACTACTCTTCTCAAATCTGCCTGAATAGATTTATCCTTTAGGCCTCTTTTGTGGCAAGACAAATTCATAGCTGAGAAATTTATATGGGAGGAACAAAAAAGTAACTGTACCACTATCTAATATTGAGCACCAGTATTAGTGCAATTATTTAATAATGTAACTTCTTGTTAGTATAACATTAGTGAAAAATAATTATGAAATCTTTAGTATGTTTATCTTCTTCCATAAAATAAATTCATGGCCAGTGGGGTGTCTCACGCCTGTGGTCCCACCACTTTCGGAGGCTGAGGTGGACAGATCACGAGGTCAGGAGTTCGAGACCAGCCTGGCCAACGTGGTGAAACCCCATCTCTACTAAAAATACAAAAGTTATCTGGGCTTGGTGGTGGGTGCCTGTAATCCCAGCTGCTCGGGAGGCTGAGGCAGAAGAATCGCTTGAGCTTGGGAGGCGGAGGTTGCAGTGAGCTGAGATCACGCCACTGCACTCCATCTTGGGCAACAGAGCAAGACTCTGTCTCAAAAAAATACATTAATTAATTTAAAAAATAAATTCATCAAATAACGACAATCACGAGAGTGACTACAAAAGATGGGCGTGTCCTCAGAGTCTGGCCTCAGTGAGTTTGGAGTGGTGCATACCAGGAGCAGCAGAGGTTCCAGGGAAAATTGTAGACAGAGGAAACAAACCACCATGAAGGAGAGTCAGTGGCAATAATCATTACCAATGAAGAACTGTAGAGTCGTATTTCAAGAATGAAGGTGAGAGCCGGGTGTGGTGGCTCATGCCTGTAATCCTAGCACTTTGAGAGGCCAAGGCAGGCAGATCACCTGAGGTCAGGAGTTTGAGACCAGCCTGGCCAACATGGTGAAACCCTGTGTCTACTAAAAATACAAAAATTAGCCGGGCGTGGTGGCAGGTGCCTCTAATCCCAGCTACTTGAGAGGCAGAGGCAGGAGAATCACTTGAGCCTGGGAGGCAGAGGTTGCAGTGAGCCGAGGTCACGCCACTGCAGTCCAGCCTGGCGACAGAGTGAGACTCTGTCTCAAAAATAAATAAATAAATAAATAAAATTGAGGTAGTCATTTACAGAAAAATATAATCTTTAAGACTTAAGAGCATTTAAGACCAACAAAGTTTCAATAAAGAAATGTTAATAGAGAAGGTTAGCAAGAAAGGAAAAGATTAAGGAGTGCAGTTATGAATAGTTAGAATCTAGTAGCTAGTAAGCAGATGACACATCTGAAACTCTAATCACGTATTTGCAACAATAAGAAAGCTGTATGTAAAACAACTTCTGTTTGTGGTTGGTGGAATTAAAGGAAACAAGACAGAATAAGCGAACAACTGAAAATAAATACAAAAATGAGGTGATCAGAGTGAAGGCATTCTACAGTGTTTGCATTATTTTGTGGAGGGAGTTAAAATTAGCTTAATTTTAGCCTTTGTTAAATTGTAATGCAAAATGCAGTGTAAAATTTCAGGGAAAACAACTAAAAGAATAGTAAAGATTCCAAACCAATAGAGGTTTAATTTCCAAACCAATCAAAGGAAAAAAGATGGAATTGGTGGGTGAGGGTAGAAGGATTTAAATTATTCAAAAGAGACTGGGCAGAGTGGTTCACACCTGTATTCCCAGCAATTTGGGAGGCCAAGGCAGGTGGATCACCTGGGGTCAGGAGTTCAAGACCAGCCTGGCCAACATGGTGAAACTCCTTCTATTCTAAAAATACAAAGAAAAAAATTAGCTGGGCGTGGTGGCTTACACCTGTTGTCCCAGCTACTCAGGAGGCAGAGGCACGAGAATCACTTGAATCCGGGAGGCAGAGGTTGCAGTAAGCCGAAATCATGCCGCTGCACTCCAGCCTGGGGAACAGAGTGAGACTCAGTCTCAATAAATAAATAAATAAATTCAAAAGAAAAGCAGGAAGAGAGAGGGAAAAAAACTAGATAAAATGGACAAGTAGAACACATAAAATAAAGTGAAAGGATAAGGATATAGAAGATTCGAATAGATTATTTCCCACTTTGATTTTAATGGACATATATCGTGATTAGAGAATATTATGCAGCCATTTAAATTGCATATGTAATAGTTACCACTTTACTTGGCATAAAGCCAGTTTTAATAAATTTCAAAGAATTAGTAACAAAAATAATTGAGAAAAACTTCCAGAAACTGGAAAAGGATAATGTGCTTTTGTTATAAAAGTTCATGTTATGTTGAAATGGATAAATGGAAAACAACAAAAACAAAAAGCATACCCAGAAACATGAAGGTCACATTTTATATCACCAGAATGATATAAACTGATTTGCTTCAAAGGAATGAGAGAGACTTTGATTTGATCAGGGTGGTGACATCAGAAGCAAAAAGAAGTGCAGAAATCAATAGTGAGTTCTCACAGAAAAGAACATTGGAAATAGAAATTTACAGTCAGCCAAACTATCACTGAAACCAACCTAAGACAGAATTTATTCAGAAGTATATACTACTGACTACCTGTAAACTCTGTGAGGGGAAAAAAAACCAAAAAAACAAAACTGGAGGATGCACTCCATAAAGAAGAGAAAATGAATTCAAAGAAATGCATTAAAAATACTAATCAGGCTGGGTGTGGTGGCTCACACCTGTAATCCCAGCACTTTGGAAGGCCGAGGTGGGTGGATCACCTGAGGTCAGGAGTTTGAGACCAGCGTGGCCAACATGGTGAAACTCCGTCTATACTAAAAATACAAAAATTAGCCAGGTGTGGTGGTGTGCACCTGCAATCCCAGCTACTTGGGAGACTGAGGCAGGAGAATCACTTGAACCGAGGAGGCAGAGGTTATAGTGAGCTGAGATTGTGCCACTGCACTCAAGCCTGGGCCACAGAGTGAGACTGTCTTAAAAAAATAATAATAATAATCAATAGTTGGCAAAAACAAAGAAGTAAAAATAATAGTAAAATTTGATTAAATCTGAATTGGTGCAAATATTTAAATAAATCAGCTACATGAGACATCTCAAATGTTATCAACAGAGGGAGTAATATAGGGTGGAGCAGGTGAAGTTTGCTATTGTATTTTATTTTCTAAGTATGGATAGAATTTAGGAATATTAATAGTGTTTTGTACAGTTAAGCTAACAGCTAGTCAGTTACATTTGGATTTTCTACCTACACAGTCACCTCTTATGGAGGTAATGACAGTTGCTTTTTTGTTTTCATTGAATTATTTTGCTTTTATTCATTTTTAAATTTTCTCCTGTGTACTGGTAGGACTTGCAGTGAGCAGAGGGATGACTGAATAGAATGAGAAGCAGATTTGCCCTAAGCAGTTCCCAACTTGACTTTTCCCTTTAGCTTAGTGATTTTGGGGTCCAAAGATTTGTTTTCCTTTCACACAGCATTGTTTACATTAGCCAAGATTTAGAAGCAACATGTCAACAGATGAATGGATAAAGCAAATGTACATACACACCCCCAGGAGTACTTTTCACTTATAAAGAATAAGATCCTGTTATTTGCAACAACATGGATGGAACTGGAGATCATATGGTAAGACAAATAAGCCAGGCACATAAAGGCAAAATTTTTTCTTACAAGAACTTTGGCTATTCTGAGTCTTTCGTGGTTCTGTCTGCATTATAGGATTGTTTTTCCTGTTTCTGTGAAGAGTATCGATGTTTTGATAGGGTTGCATTAAGTCTGTAGATTGCATTGGTTAATATAGACACTAAAAATACTGATTCTTATTCATGAACATAAAATACATATTTTTGTCTTTTTAAATTTCTTGCATCAATGTTTTATAGTATTCATTGTAGAGATCTTTAACGTCTTTGGTTAATTCCTAGGTATTTAATTTTAATTTGAGGCTATCGTAAATGGGACCACTCTCTTGATTTCTTTTTCACATTGTTCACTGTTGGCATATAGAAATGCTGCTAACTTTTTAATCCTATATCTTGACTAAAATTGTGAGTTCTCATAGTGTTTTAGTGAATTAGGATTTTCCAAATATAAGACCACATCATCTGCAAACAAACATAATTTGACTTCTTCCTTTCCAATTTGCTTGCCCTTTATTTTTTCTCTTGCTAATTGCTCTAGCTGCCATGTGTTGAATAACAGTAGTGAAAGTGTGCATCTCTGTCATGTTGTCAATCTTAGAGGAAAAGCTTTTCATTTTTCCCCATTTAGTATCATACTATATGTGATATATATATATCTATATATAACTTTTATATGCTGAGGTATGTTTCTTTTTTTATTATACTTTAAGTTTTAGGGTACATGTGCACAATGTGCAGGTTAGTTACATATGTATACATGTGGTATGCTGGTGTGCTGCACCCATTAACTCGTCATTTAGCATTAGGTATATCTCCTAAAGCTATCCCTCCCCCCTCCCCCCACCCCACAACAGTCCCCAGAGTGTGATGTTCCCCTTCCTGGGTCCATGTGTTCTCATTGTTCAACTCCCACCTATGAGTGAGAATATGTGGTGTTTGGTTTTTTGGTCTTGCGATAGTTTACTGAGAATGATGATTTCCAATTTCATCCATGTCCCTACAAAGGACATGAACTCATCATTTTTTATGGCTGCATAGTATTCCGTGGTGTATATGTGCCACATTTTCTTAATCCAGTCTATCATTGTTGGACATTTGGGTTGGTTCCAAGTCTTTGCTATTGTGAATAGTGCTGCAATAAACATACATGTGCATGTGTCTTTATAGCAGCATGATTTATAGTCCTTTGGGTATATACCCAGTAATGGGATGGCTGGGTCAAATGGTATTTCTAGTTCTAGATCCCTGAGGAATCGCCACACTGACTTCCACAATGGTTGAACTAGTTTACAGTCCCACCAACAGTATAAAAGTGTTCCTATTTCTCCACATCCTCTCCAGCACCTGTTTCCTGACTTTTTAATGATTGCCATTCTAACTGGTGTGAGATGGTATCTCATTGTGGTTTTGATTTGCATTTCTCTGATGGCCAGTGATGGTGAGCATTTTTTCATGTGTTTTTTGGCTGCATGTATGTTTCTTCTATAGTTTTGAGGGTTTCTTTCATGAGGAGATATTAAATTTTGTCAAATGATTTTCAGGATCAATTAAAATGATCATGTGGTTTTTGTTCTTTCTTTTGTTGATATGGTATATTACATTAATTGATTTGCATATGTTGAAGTATCTTTGCATCCATGAGATAAATCCTACTTGATGATGAGGAATAATAAACTTTTAATCTGTTGCTGAATTTTACTTGCCAGTATTTTTATGAGAAATTTTGCATCTATTGCTGATATTGGCCTATAGATTTTTTTGATATGCATTTGTCTGATTTTAGTATGAGAGTAATGCTTGCCTTACAGAACGAGGTTGAAAGTATTTCCTCCTCCTCTGTTTTGAAATAGTTTAAGTGGGATTGCTATTAGTTTTATACATGTTTTGTCAAATTCAGTGAAACCATCAGATTTCAGGCTTTTCTTTGATGGGAGGCTTTGTATTATGGATCTCATCACGTCTTGTTTGTGTATTCAGGTTGTGGATTTCTTAATAATTCAATCTTCTTAGGTTCTATGTGTCTAGAAATTTATCCATTTGTTCTAGATTTTCCAATTTATGGCATCTATCTGCTCATAGTACTCACTAATGATCTTTTGAATTCCTGCAGTATAAGTTGTAGAGTTGAAATGTCTCCTTTTTCATCTTTGATATTATTTGAGTCTTTTCCTTTTATTCTTTTATTTATTTATTTATTTTTGAGATGGAGACTTGCTCTGTTGCCCAGGCTGGAGTGCAGTGGCTCGATCTCAGCTTACTGCAACCTCCGCCTCCCGAGTTCAAGCAATTCTACCTGCCTCAGCCTCCTGAGTAGGTGAGATTACAGGTGCCCACCACCACGCCTGGCTAATTTTTGTGTTTTTTAATAGAGACGGGGTTTTGCCATGTTGGCCAGGCTGATCTTGAACTCCTGACCTCAGGTGGTCCAGCCGCCCGCCTCAGCCTCCTAAAGTCCTGGGATTACAGGCATGAGCCACTGCCTGCTGAGTTTTTTTTTTTTTTTTTTCTTAGTCTGAGTAAAGGTCTGTCAGGTTTCTTTTTTTTTTTTTTTCCAGAAAACAACTTTGCATTTTATTAACCTTTTGTATTTTATTTCAAATTCATTTATTTCTGCTTTGATCTTTATTACTTCTTTTCTTCTAATTTTGGTTTGGTTTGCTCTTGTTTTTCTAGCTCTCTAAGATACGTCATTAGGTTTTTTTTTTTTTAAGTGTCAATTGTTTTGGAAATACAGGTGGTTTTTCATGACATGGATAAGTTCTTTAGTGTGTTTTCTGAGATTTCAGTGCACTTGTCACCTGAGCAGTGCACACTGTACTTAATATGTAGTTTTTTATCCCTCACCCGCCTCCCAGCCTTCCCCCTCGAGTCCCCAAAGTCTTTTACATTATTCTTATGCCTTTGCATCCTCATAGATTAGCTCCCACTTATATGTAAGAACATACGATATCTAGTTTTCCATTTCTGAGTTATTTCACTTAGAATAATGACCTTCGGCTCCATCCAAGTTGCTGCAAATGACATTATTTTGTTAAGTGTTCCCATTTCACCACATCCAATGCCAACATCTGTTGTTTTCTTGACTTTTTTTGGCCTACAAAAAATGGCCATTTTTGTAGGAGTTATTTGATATCTAACTGTGGTTTTCATTTGTATTTCCTTGATTATTGATGTTGAGCATTTTTAGGTTGTTATTAGCTGTTTGTATATCTTCTTTTGAAAAAATATATATTCATTTTCTTTGCCTACTTTTTAATGGAATTATTATTTTGCTAATTTCTTTGAGTTCCTTATAGATTCTGGATACTAGCTTTTTGTCAGATGTGTAGTTTGCAAATATATTCTGCTACTCTGTGGGTTGTCTGTGTACTCTGCTGCTTATTTCCTTTGCTGTGCAGAAGCTTTTTAGTTAAATTAGGTCCCATTTATTTATGTTTGTTTTTGTTGCATTTGCTTTTTGGGTCTTAGTCATGAATTCTTTGCCTAAATCAATGTCGAGAAGAGTTTTTTTTCTTATGTTATCATTTAGAATTCGTATGATTTCAGGCCTTAGATTGAAATATTTGATCCATCTTGAATTGATTTTTGTATAAGGTCAGAGATGGGGATCCAGTTTTATTCCTCTGCGTGTGGCTTGCCAGTATTTCCTAGCACCATTTATTGAATAGGGTGTTCTTTCCCCAATTTGTGTCATTATATGCCTTGTTGATGATTAGTTTAGTTGCCTGTGTTTGGCTTAATTTCTGGATTCTGTATTTTGCTTCATTGGTCTGTGTGTAAATTTTAATACCAATACCATGTTGTTTTGATAACTATAGCCTTGTAGTATAATTTGAAGTAGGGTAATGTGATGACCCCATATTTTTTATTTATTTGTTTGGTTAGTATTACTTTGGCTATGTAGGCACTTTTTTGATCCATATTAATTTTAGGGTTTTTTTTCTAGTTCTGTGAAGAATACTGGTGGTATTTTCATGGAAACTGCATTAAATCTGTCATGAAGTTGTTCATTTGAATTTTTTTATGTAGACACTTTTAGTTATAAACTTTTAGTACTGCTTTTACTGTAAATCCTAAGTATTTCCATTGTGACATATTACAGAAATATTTCAATTTATTTATTAATATCCCCATTGACCCACTGGCCTTTCAGGAGCATATTGTTTAAATTCTATGTGTTTGTATAGTTTCAAAAATTTGTCTTGTTATTGATTTCTAGGTTTTTTTATTGTAGTCACAAAAGATGCTTGATATTATTTTAATTTTTAAAATGTGTTAAGACTTGTTTTGTGACCTAACATACGGTCTATCCATGAGAATGATTCATGCACTGCAGAGCAAAATGTGTATTCTGAAGCCATTGGATAAAATGTTCTGTAAATATCCATTGTGTCCATTTGGTTTATAGTGCAGATTAGGCCTGAGATTTCTTTGTTGGTTTTCTGTCTGGAAGATTTATCCAATGCTGAAAGTGTGATGTTGCATTCTCCAGGTATTATTATATTGGAGCCTGTCTCTCTCTTTAGCTCTAATAATACTGGCTTAATATATCTGAGTACTTCAGTGTTGGATGCATATGTATGTAACATTCTTACATCCTCATGCTGAATTAAACTCATTATTATTATAGAGTGACCATCTTTGTCTCTTCTTCTAGTTTTGTCTTGAAATCTATTTTGTCTGACATAAGTGTAGCAACTACTGCTATTTTTGTTTGTTTTCTTTGACATGGAATTTTTTTAAATCTTTTTAATCTATGTGTTTATAGGTGAAGTGTGTTTCTTGTAGGCAACAAATCGCTGGGTCTTAATTTTTGTATCCATTTAGCCACTCTGTGTCTTTTGATTGGAGAATTTAGTCCATTTACATTCAGTGTTGTTATTGATTATATAAAGACTTACTCTTGCCATTTTGTTCTTTGTTTTCTGGTCTTGCTATCAGCAGCAAGAGGGAACCTGAAAGTAGGTAGCCATCTGTGAGGCTGAGTCTGGGATTTTTATGGGTTTAAAACAGGAGAATGCATGCTGATTGGTTCATGGGTGGGCTTGGAAAAGACACCATTCAATTGGTTAAAAGGCATCATTCTCAAAGAACCAATAGAGAGCAGGTTAGACAGGGATGGAAGTTCTCACTCTAGTCCATGAATTCTTTCTGGAACTGGTAGCTCAGTTTTCAGGCTTTTTAGACTGTTGTTTCCTTGAAGGTCGAGTTTCACCAGTGCACCCATCCCTGTCTGCCTAGGAGTTTGTCTTCTGTTGCTATCAGTAGGACTGCAGTGGGTCAGACCTGAAACCAGCACAGCACTTGATCACACCCATGGTGAGCTGTAACCCTACCTGGTACCACCAGTAATTGCTCAAGGTCTTGGAGCTTTATAATCTGTAGGTGGTAAGCCAGCCAGGTTTGTATCCTTTCCTTCAGAGTAGTGAGTTCCCTCAGGTTCTGGGCAAGCCCAGTGGTGCCATCCAGGAGCCAGGGGCTGGAGTCAATAACCTTAGGAGTCTACTTTGTGTTCTATTGTACTGTGGTAGAGCTAGCAATTAAACCATGAAATTCGGTTCTTCCCATTTTTCCCTCCTTACTCAACAGGCAGAGGGGCCTCATCCTATTGCTGCCATCACCACAGGCCCATCGGGAATACTGCCAGGCTTCCACCAATGTTCTCTTAAGGTTCAAGGCTCTTTAGTTCACTTATAGTGAATGATGCTTGGCCTGGTACTCATCCTTTTGGTCAGTGGTGTCCCTTCTGTCCCAGTACAGGTCCAGAAGTGCCATCCAAGTGCCAAGACCTGGAATAAGGGACCCCAAGAGCCCACTGGTGCTCTTCCTCTCTTTGGCCATGCTGGAACCTAAGTTGCAAGATGAAGTTCTCTAGTTTTTCCTCTACCTTTTTCAGTGTCTCCCTGTAGCCACCACAGTTGTGAATGTGCCGAGTCTCACCTGATTCTAGCAAGCCTCAGAGTCTCAATGAAAGCTCACAGCAAACTACCTGGTTATCACTGCAGGTTATTCCAGGCCAAGGGCCCTTTACTTAGCAGTTGATGGGTCTTGTTAGTACCGGATTTCTTCATTCAAGGCAGCAGATTTCCTTATAGTCCAGTATGTACCTAGAAATTTTAATTAGGAGCTAGTGGCTGAGAAGGGTGTTTTATAACTCTGACTGGTGGCCTTGCTGGTATCCAAAATACAAGACAAAGTCCTGTTTACTCTTTCTGTCTTCTTAAGTAGATGGAAGTGGTCTCTTGAATCTGTGAGCTGTGCAGCCTCAGTTTGGAGGAGGGGTGGTATAAGAACTCTCTTAGCTGCCCCAGCTTGTATCTTAGTAGGTAATGTGGCCCCCAAGTCCACTGGCTCTAAGCCCAGTTCAGCATGACACCTGGGAGTTGCTGTCCTTGTGACCTAGACTGTTTTAAGTTTCTTTAGGGCCCCAGAGCATTTTAGACTATGGTGGTGAAGCTTGCCAGAACTCAAGTTCCAATCACTGGGAGGGTGATTCCCCTCTGTCCAGGGCCAGTTGAAACACACCCTCTGTGGGCAGGCATCAGCTGAGTTCATTCCAGTTTTGCTTTCTGCTATGATGGGGCAGCACTGAGTTCAATGCTCACAATCCCAGTGCTCTCCCTCTCCCAAGTGTACAGATTCTGTCTACATAGCATGTGACTACTGCCAGGGCATGAGTGAGGAGTGGCATTAGTGATTCAAGACTGTCTTTCCTACCCTGTTTTAGTGCCTCTTTGTGTACTGCAGGGTTAAAACCAGGTACTGTGAGTGCTCGCCTTTATTCTTATGAAGGTTTTTGTTTGTTTTTTAATAGATAGTTGTTATATTGGTGTCCTTCCAGGGGAAATGATCACTGGAGCCTTCTATTTAGCCATCTTGCTCTGTCCTCTGTTGGTTTTCTACTATGGCATTGTGCTCATGTTCTCAGCTTGGTAAAATTTCATATTAGATTTGTAAAGTATATTCAGCTAAATTCAGTATGTAGAATAATTAGTTATTTTTACTACTTTGAGCTATATATTCTTATTACAACCAAGGCATTTTACCAGAGCAAGGCATAGAAGAGTCATTCAAAAAAGCAACACTAGGAAAAGCAACACTAGGAAAAGCAACACTGGGAAGATATGGGAGCTGTGGCCTTGAAAATTTATGCTTATGGAAAAACTGGGAAAGTATAGGTGAAGGACAAAAAGAATGTTATAATTTATGTAGCCAATATTTGACAACTTCTCATAACAAAAATTTAACTGTGAAAGGAGATGAAGAACATAGAATATTTCTGAAGAAGCCTCAGTTTCTGCCAGCTACTCCTACAGAACCGTGTATTCCTGTGAGTAAATATCAACATCAATTTTTGGAATCTGTCTTTTGTAATAAAAATCAGATAAATTTTAGCCATGACTCAAATATTAGTAAACATCAGAATACTCATTTTGTAGAAAACTATTACAAATGTAATGAATGTGAGAAAGTGTTTTATCAATCCTCAAAGTATCCATATTCAAGAAAAGCCTTACAACCCTAATGAATGTGGTGAAACTTCTGACCCATCCTCAAAACTTACTCAACATCGAAGAACTTATATTGGAGAGAGCTCACAAAGATGTAATAAAAAATGTATAATAGTCTTTAGTCAGTCACATCTGAAGAGACATAAGATAATTAACACTGGAGAGAAATCAGTAAAATGTAAAGAACGTGGCAAAGCTTTTACCAGGGGCTTACAACTTGGACATCAGAAAATTCATACTGGAGAGAAACCTTACAAATGTGAAAAATGTGACAAAGCCTTTAAGAAGAGCTCACACCTTGCTCAACATCAGAGAATCCATACTGGAAAGAAACCTATCAAGTGTAAGGACTGTGGCAAAGCTTTTAACAGAGGCTCGTACCTTACTTAACATCAGAGAATCCATACTGGAGAGAAAGCCTTCAAATGTAAAGAATGTGGCAAAGCCTTTAATAGAAGCTCATACATTACTCAGCATCAGAGAATTCACACTGGAGGGAAACCTTTCAAGTGTCAAAAAATGTGGCAAAGCTTTTAACAGAGCTTCACACCTTACTCAACATCAGAGAATACATACTGGAGAGAAACACTTCACACATAAAGAATGTGGCAAAGCCTTTAACAGGGGCTCACACCTTACTCGACATCAGAGAATCCACACTGGAGAGAAGTCTTTCAAATGTAAAGAATGCAGCAAAGCTTTTATCTAGGGCTCACACCTTACTCAACATCAGAGAATCTACACTGGAGAGAAATTCTTCAAATGTAAAGAATGTGGCAAAGCTTTTACCAGGAGCTCACACCTTTCTCAATATCAGAGAATTCATACTGGAAAGAAACCTTTCAAATGTGAAGAATGTGGCAAAGCTTTTAACAGACACTCAACCCATACTCAACATCAAATAATTCATACCAGATAGAAACTCTTCAAGTGTAAAGAATGTGCCAAAACCCTAAACTGGTGCTCACACCTTACTCAACAATTCTATCTTTTATACAATAAATTACGGTTAACTATAGTTGTCCTATTGTGTTACGAAACACTAGATCTTATTTCTTCTATTTTTCTTAATGTTTAATTAAAATATTATTTCAGGCTGGACATGGTGGCTGATGCCTGTAATCCCAGCACTTTGGGTCAGTGAGGGAGGATCACTTGAGCTCAGTACATTGAGTCTGCCCTCAGCTATGATTACGCCACAGCACTTGAGCTGAGGACAGAATGAGACCCTGTCTTTAGAAAAAAATAGGCTGGGTGTGGTGGCTCACACCTGTAATCCCAGCACTTTGGGAGGCCTAGGCAGGAGAATCTCATGAGCGCAGGAGTTTGAGACAAGCCCATGCAACATAATGAGACCCCATCTATACACAAAATTTAAAAATTAGTTGGGCATGGTGGTGTGCAGCTGTGGTCCCAGATACTTGGTAGCCTGAGGTGGGAAGACTACTTGAGCCTAGGAGGTAGAATCTGCAGTAAGCCATGATCATGTTACTTCACTCCAGCCATGGTGATAGAATAAGATCTGTCTCAAAGAAACCAAAAAAATAAAATATTTGCTTATTTTTTGAAAAAAATGCACAACATTGAGAAATACGGAAGTTATTTTAAAAGTTTTTTATTCTCTTCTAAATGCATTTTCTAAAATATACAAAAAATTAGTAAAAAAAAAAAAATGACATAACTGACCTCACATGCATTAAGTGAAATAAACCAGACACAAAACATAATACAGTGTATCATCCCATTTATACAAAATAGTAATCATACCACAATAATAAAGAGGTAATAAAAATGGACCAGGCATGGTGGCTCACACGTTTAATTCTAGCACTTTGGGAGGCTGAGGCAGGTGGATTGCCTGAGGTTAGGAGTTCGAGAGCAGCCTGGCCAACATGGTGAAACCATGTCTCTACTAAAAACAAAATTAGCCAGGTGCAGTGGTGGGCGCCTGTAATCCCAGGTACTCAGGAAGCTGAGTCAGGAGAATCTATTGAACCCGCGAGGCAGGCAGAGGTTGCAGTGAGCTGAGATCGCACCACTGCACTCAAGCCTGCATGACAGAGACTCCATCTCAAAAACGAAACCAAACCAAACAATAAAGGTGATAAAATGGAATGTCCATAAAAGGGAAATCAGTAATGATTGTCTAGTCCTGATAGTGGAAATATTTTAAAGTTATACCATGGCTATAGTTGCATAATTATAAATATACCAGAAACTTTGTATTGAGTATGATGTTATGCATATTTCATCATAACTTTTTTTTAAAAAATAAGCATGCCATAAAATAGCAAGGTGGTTAAATTGCTTGCTTGAAAACAATGTGAAAATGCAATCAATTTTTGCTCATTTCAAGGTTTTTGATTAGGTGTTTCTGAATTTGTCCGTTAGGTCTAGTTGGTATATTAAAGTCAGCAGTTCACATTGAGAATTTTCTTCTACTACCATTCTGCCATTTGTGCTTCATATATTGGGGTCTTTGTTAGGTACATGCATATTTAAAACTATTTTATCTTCTTGATAGATTTATAATTTTTTAACATAAAATTTCCTATGTCAATTAATTATAGCAATGTTGTCTTAATGCCTATCTTGTCTAAGGGTAACCACCCCAGCTTATTTTGCTTACTATTTGTGTGGAATCTTTTTACCCATCCTTTCACTTTCAACCCATTTGTGAGTTTAGGACTAAAGAGATTCTCCTATAGATAACATAAAGTTAGTTCAGGTTTTTGTTTATTTTTAAACCATCTGCCAATCTTTGCATTGTAATTGTAGATGTTAATTTCTATTTAAACTATTTATAAGGAAGGGCACACTTCTGCCATTTTTCTAGTTGTTTTCTAAAGTCTTGTATATTTTTGTTAATTAACTCTTATATTACTGACATCTTTAATGTTCTAGTATTTTTCCAAAACAGTTTTGATTCTCTTCTCATTTCCTCTTTCACTTCTTTCTTTAGTTGTATTTTTAGTGGCTACCTTAAGGATGACAATTAATCTCATCACTGTGTAACTGTACTTTAAATTAATACTGCTCATAATTCAGTTTTATTTTACAAGCTGTTTCAATAGAGATCTGCTCCTCCAATGTTATGTTGTTTTGTCACATATTACATCTTTATGCATTGTATGACATTAACAAAAATTTATAATTATTTTATGCATTAGTATTTTAAATTACATGTAAAAAAGAACAATAGATAAAAGTTACAAAATATTCTTTAATAGTGGCATTTATATTTTGCCATGTACTCATTTTTACTGGCATTCTTTATTTTTTCATATGGCCTTGCATTATTACCTAGTTTGTCATTTCATTTCAACCCAAAAGATAACCTTTGTCATTTAATGCATACCAGGTCTACTAGTGACAAGCTGTTAAATTTGTTTTAATCTATATAGCTCTTAGTGTCTTCAAAGGTCTTCAAGGATGTCCTTCATCTTTGAAGAGCAGTTTTGCTGAAAATAGAGTTCTTTGTTGGCTTTTTTTTTTTGTTTCTACACTTTAAATATATTGTCCTATCATATTCTGGACTCCGTAGTTTTTAGTGAGAAATTATATTCTGGACTCTAGTTTTTAGTGAGTTGTTAATGTCAGTGTAGATGCATTGCAAATAGTAGTCTTTTCTCCATAACTTTCTTCAAAGTTGTCTCTTTAGCTTTTGAAAGTTTTATTGTAATTTGTCTTGGTGTAGAGTTCTTTGAGTTTATACTATGAATTCAATGAGATTTTGGAATGTGTAGATTCACGTATTTCATCATGCTTGGGAACTTTTTAGCCATTATTTCTTCAGATGTTCTTTCTGCCCCATTTTATCTTTCTCCCTTCTTTCGGGAGTTTTCATAATGCTTGTAATGGCACATTTTATAGTATCCCATTGTTATCTTAGGCTCTGTTCATCTTTATTCATTATTTTTTATTTCTGCTAGTTGGGATAATACGAATTGAAGTGACCTCAAGCTTGCTGGTTGTGTCTTTCGTCTACTTAAATCTTTTGTTGAACCTTTGTGGTGAATTTTTTATTTTAGTTATCTTAATTTTCAACTTTAGAGTTTGGCTTCAGTTTATAATCTCTATCTCTATTAATATTTTCTATTTGATGAGACACTATTCTTCTGAAATGTTTTTCCTTTTGATGTTATTTATCTTTGCAGCACATTTAAGACAGGTAATTTAAAGACTTTTTCTAGATTTTTCAATGCCTACGATTCCTCTAGGACTGTTTCTGTTAATATCTGTTATCTTATTAGTGGGCCATTATTTTTTCATTAATTTATTTGCACGCTTTGTATTTCATTGCTGTTGCTGAAAACTAGACTTTTTCTATTACAACAACCCTGAAATAATATTCTCTCTCATCCCGTTGGGTTTTTTTGTTGCTTATTGTAAATTTTACTTGTTTGTTTGGTGAGTTTTCAAAATTATTTTTAAAATATCATCCTTTTGTCGTGTTTAGCAATAAAAATCTCTGCTTTATTAGCTTCATGTGAGCTAGCTATTTGACAGAGATTTTCTCAAATGCCTGCTCACATCAAATATAAATCTACTAGTTCTTGCAGTTGGGTTTACTTAGCCAGAAAGATTACAACTTTGCTGTTTTCTTTTCTTCCTGCTTGTGCAGTGCTTGGAGGTAAAGCAGACATGAGAGATAACAGCTTCGTAGGTCTTTGTGAGCATTTGCCTGTCCCTTGATTGACCCTGAACATGCTTATGGGCTTCTGGATTCTCAGGAATATGTGGATAATTTTCAAAGCCCGAATCCCCCAGGCACCTCACTCCTCAGTCTTTTCTCTTAGATATTCTACATGACTTTTGCTTGCCGCACTGATATTCTTTCTCCAAGGTGTGATGAGTAGTTAATTAGCCCTTAACTATTTTTGCCAAACATTAGGTTATTAATTTAGAATTGTTTATTTTTAATGTAGGTGTTTACTGCTGTGAATTTCTCTCAGTAGTTTGCTGCATCTCATGTTTTGATTTTTTTTGAGACAAGTTCACACTCTGACACCCAGGAATGAGTGCAGTGGTTTGATCAGGGGTCTCAGAAGCCTTGACCGTGTAGGCTCAAGTGAACTTGCTGCCTCAGCCTCACAAGTAGCCAGAGCTACAGGCAGGTGGTACAATGCCTGGCTAATTTTTGAAATTTTTTTGTGAAGATGGGTTCTCATTATGTTGCCCAGGCAGGTCTCAAACTCTGGGGCTCAGTCCTCCCACTGCTGCCTCCTAAAATGCTTAAATTACAGGCATAAGTCACAGCACTCAGCCTTTATAAAACCTTTGATATTTTTTCTTTTATTCTGTTTTCCCATGTTTGTAACATGTTGTCCCAAATTACACAATAGTTCTATGGTAGTTGTGGCAGATTTGTGACATAAAATAGAGAAAACATAAGTTACATTTAAATTTGGGGTAAACAACAAATAACTTTTTAGTATAGCTATGCAATGTTTTTATATCTGTGTATAATATGTGTAAGCAATTACTGGAGTATATACAAATAACAATTCATCATTTACCTGAAATTCAAATATAACCAAGTGTGTTACATTTGTCAACCCTTGTTCATGGGAGCCACTGTTCTTTTCTCCAGACTCAGCATTAATGACCTGAAAACCTTCATTAGAGAAAAATAAAGTTTGATAATTAGCAGATACATTCTTTTGCGGTATGTAGTAGTCATTAGAGAGGGTGTGGCATGAATTAAAGTGTGTGATCTGGATACCTTATGGGGAGAAAAAAATAGAATTCTTACGTATGTTGTTTTATCTAATTGTATTACCTCTTTCTGTGATATAACTTTTAATACATACAGTATATTTAGTAAAAGTGATTTCTACGTAAGTAGTAAGTAGTTATTTGTATATTAACTGTCCATGTTTATTTTCTGGAACTAGACTGCAGTATTTAATATATGGAGATTATTATGGCTTTAATCTGATACTATCCTGGAGCTTCTTTTAGGTTTAACATGATAAAGAACCATATCATGTTGATGGCATCAGTATATTTTGGTGGCAACTATCCATTGTTTGGTTCTGGACATTGAGATAAATGTGTACTTATACTAGATTATGTGTTAGGAGAAAAAATAAAAACTGATATATAAACTATGCAATTTCCTTTTTGTAAACTCATCCATATCAGGTGGTTTAAAATTGGTTAGCAGTTTTCTAGCTCAGATGTTAATTTCTGAGTATGAGGTAAAAAATACTGTCAAATCATCTTCATTGCCTTGCACATTTATATTTGTGGTTTGTGCATTAGTACCATCACAACTCACTGGCTCACTATAGCCTCAAGATCCTATGCTCAAGTGATCCTTCCATGTCAGCTTCCCATGTAACTGGGACCACAGGTACGTGCCACCATGCCTAGCTAATTTCTTTCTTATTTTTGATAGACACAGGGTGTCACTGTGTTGCTCAAGCTAATTTCAAACTGTTTATCTGAAGCAATGTCCCTGCCTCAGCCTCTCAAAGCGGTGGAATTATAGGCATGAGCCAGAGCTCTATTATTCTAAGCTGCGGGCTGAATTAGTTGGATACAATAGTGATGACTGTATTCAGGGCAAAGAAGAAAGTAATTGCAGAATTATTCAATAAAATTTTATGAAGGGTTCTCATACAGAGATATCATGATTAAGAGATGGAGAATTATCTTTACTATTAGTGACCTTGGTGTTTTTCCAAGGCTTGGAAAGGCATCTTTCCATGGAAGGGTATCTTCCATGGAAGGGTATCTCTGTATAAAGTGAAGCATCAAGAAAATTATCACTTAATGCAAATTCATGGATCCCATAAAGTAGAAAAAGGTAGTCCATGTACTTGTAGCATTGAAAACTGGATTTTAGCAATTTCCTCCTGAGATGAAATAAAGCTTTCATGAGATTTCTCTGGGATAAAAACAAAACTTGAACAGAGCCAGAATTATTTTAAGGGATTCGTTTAATAGGACTTGTGGTAAGTGGAATAATGCCATGCAAAGGTCCCCATGTCTAACCACCAGGTTCTAGGCATGTATTATGGTATATGAGAAATGGGAATTCAGGCTGCAGATGATATCAAGGTTGATAACCAGCTGACTCTAAAACAAAAACATTAACTTGAATTACAGATTTGGGCCTAATGTAATTATAAGCATTCTTAAAAGTGAAAGAAATAATAAGAGAAACTGAGTGCTGTGATGTGAGTCAGTTAAACTTTTTTTTCAACTTTTTCTTTAGGTGATTATTTTCCCTTAACATAAAATTTACTTTAGCTCAACTATACAAACATGTGAGTTATTGTTATGTAACCATCACTCTTCATTAAGAAATGCTTTGTAAAAAGTGAGCCAGTTTTTCATATACATTCTTCAAAATACATTCTCAACATTATACATCAAATTATATATACATACATGCACACATACACTATATATATCAAGGATTTATATGATAGGATTAATTAAGAAAAAAATTAGTGGAATAAAAATAATGTTTATGATAATTTTGGCCATAGAATATATAATACAGATGATGTGAAGTACAAAATGTTTTTTATACTTCATATTTTGATGTACAAAGTATGTTTGTCTTTGTAATTCAGATGATTACTTTGCACTTGTGTTCCCATGAAAAATGCCTTTCATTTCTAAGCTGGTATTGGCATCTCAGCCAACACTTTGCTCCTTCTTTTCTGCGTCTTCTCCTTTTCTGCTTTTTCTGGATCTCAGGCCAGAGCGCACTTACCTACCAGTCTGTCATGTGGCCCTCATCCACATGGTGGTCCTTCTCACCATGGTGTTCTTGTCTCCACAGCTCTTTGAATCACTGAATTTTCAGAATGACTTCAAATATGAGGCATCTTTCTACCTGAGGAGGGTGATCAGGGTCCTCTCCATTTGTACCACCTGCCTCCTGGGCATGCTGCAGGTCGTCAACATCAGCCCCAGCATTTCCTGGTTGGTGAGGTTTAAATGGAAATCCACAATTTTTACCTTCCATTTGTTCTCATGGTCTCTCAGTTTTCCTGTTAGTAGTAGCCTGATCTTTTACACTGTGGCTTCTTCCAATGTGACCCAGATCAATTTGCATGTCAGTAAATACTGTTCACTTTTCCCAATAAACTCCATAATCAGAGGACTGTTTTTCACTCTGTCATTATTCAGAGATGTTTTTCTTAAACAAATAATGCTGTTCTCAAGTGTCTACATGATGACTCTCATTCAGGAACTACAGGAGATCCTGGTACCTTCACAGCCCCAGCCTCTACCTAAGGATCTTTGCAGAGGCAAGAGCCATCAGCACATCCTGCTGCCGGTGAGTTTCTCGGTGGGCATGTACAAGATGGACTTCATCATCTCAACCTCCTCAACGTTGCCATGGGCATATGACCGTGGTGTCTAGAGGCTAGTGGGCAGTGTCTATACCATTGTCAGGTTTTTGGTGCTACTGAGATCTGATAAAAGGGTAATCAATGTGATGTAAACTATAAGACAAATGTTTAAAAGGTTAATTGTATGAATCCTGTCATGAGTTAAATTATTCAGAGTGTTCATTATAGAGAATAATCCAAAGTTAAAATAATTGGATAATTTATTTGTATGTAGGATAAAAGTAGTAGGAGATTGCTTCTTGAAGATTTAAAATTATATTGAGTGTAATTATTTGCATTAAAATAATTTTAAATGTTTTGAATAGCAAGTATTGATATAATTAAACTTTCGAATAACTTAGTGCTTTGCCTTTATTCCTAATGTTTATATGGAAGCATGTGGTCAATGTTTGATGCATTACAGCTCTGAGCGGTCCTTCTGTATTAGGTGGTCATCATTTATGTACTTCTCCATAAAAGATTAAGGACCTGGAAATGTAAGATACATGAAGAAAATCTAAGTGGAGAGGCTGTTTGTGGTTAAGTGATAACAGTGTTGTAAGCGATGCATGAGGTAGGTGTTCAGTGCATATCCTCTGCATTTTATTAATAAACACTGTAAAATTTAGAAGAAAATTGTTTCACCAAATGCACATAAAACTAATAAAATAGAGTGGATTTTGATATGTCTCAGATTATTTGTAAACTTTATTTGTTTTAACAAATAAAAAATATTTTTAATATGTTAAGGGTCTTGTGCATTGATTGAAGTGTCATCCTGCTGTCAACATTAACTTATTCTACCTTACTCAGGCTTGTAGGTAAAACATGGTAAGACTATACCATTAAGTAATATGGTGGAATAACATCTGTAGTGATTCTTTTTCCCAGTGGCCTTATACTTCAAATAATTTAGAGAATATTGTTCCCACGTGTTACATTTTTATTTATTTTGTAACTGTGAAGTTATTGTGATGGTTATACTGAAGATTATATAGGAGTATAATCAAAAGCCCTACATTTCTGAATTCTGAATAACTATTTAGAAAATTCAGCCTACATTTTTTTGAACATGTTATCTCTGGTTCTACAAACACAAAATTTTAGTTTTAATTTACATGGTGTAAAATTTCTAAATATATTACTCTAAAGATAAACTTCAGATATAAAAGAATTGGAGAAGTAATTGTTTTTATGTGAGTGTGGAGCTATTCTGAGTAGGAAAATATATCAGAACAAAGCAGATGATTTCATGAGTGTTTATGATATACTAGCAAACTAAAACCTCACAGATTCTGAAAGCAAATTTATTTCCTCTGCTTTCCATTCATCTCTAAAATCTTGTGGTTCAGAATCTCCCCATCCAAACCCTTTGTTCTAGCTTGCCTTCTATTCATGCTAGACCTAATATACAATTTTCTTCTGTCAAAGTTCATGAAGTATTCTTTATGTGACCTGCCTAATGATTATAGCTCTTTCGGTAAAATGTAATGGTGCTAACTAAATAATTTGAAGATCTGAGTAATTTTGCAGTGAGTATATTGTTAAATTTTATTATTTAATTAGTATATTTAATCTTTTCAATTAGAGAATTCTATTTAAGCAAAATGTTTTTATTACTGTTTCTTTCATGTTTTATAGTAGACATATTTGATATAATTATTGAATTTATTGAGCCATGCTTTTAAGGTAAAAACTCGGGAGGCTTCATAAGCCATGGGATTTTCTTGCCATTTGTATGAAGTAAACAAACACAAGACGGTGCTAGGTGTGTAACAAATGCTTTACAATTATCAGGAAATATTTCTGCTCGAGTGAGTTTGTATCTTCATATAAGAGATTAAAAACACCCAGAGTGAAGAAGTGGCATTGGTTTTGCATGGTGAGAGAGGAAATCTGTAGTCAGGCTGCACAACTAACTCTAAATTTAGACAGATAAATTCTGCTTCTTTTATTTTCTAATTATCTTCAGTTTTTCTTTCACTGTCTTTTTATCTTCACCCCCAAATACATATGCATTACAGCCCTTCTCTTTCTTTGCCTGTCTTATGGCAACATCTTGCTCACTGTTCTCCCCACCCCATGTTATTTCACACAGTACTCTGCAGGTTCTGAGGACAAGTTAGAATTATTTTTAATGTGCCTAAAAATTCTTTGTAGCTGGAGAATTTGAGGTCATTTATAGATTACAAATGCAACATTCTTGTCACTTAATTTAGATAAGATAACGCAGTATCCATGGATTAGATCGTTGGACAGATAGCATTGTTAATCATTATTATATTATAACACAAAGAATGGTAAATATCAAATTAGACTAAGTGAAGTATTAATACCAGTGGGCCATGTATTATTAGTGCTACATAAGAAAACAAATCAAAATTTGGATATCCCATTAGAGACATGTCTTAGAAATAAAATTGTATTAAGGAGAGTTAGTGGTAAGTAAAATATTTTAAATTCAAATTTCTATGAAATATTTATCCCACCGCTTATGTTTCCATGCAGAATCTTCTGTTGTTGAGTGGGTATAATAAGTTTTGGACAAAAATAAAATAACCTTTGTGGGTTTAAAATTTGGAATAATCTTTTTTGCGGATTCGTATTGCCATCTTGGGAAATTTCTCACTCATATTATTATAACTTCTTTTATTTGAATGGGCACAGTTACAGTCCACAGTTTTTATTCTCAGACACCTAATTACAGCCAAATTCTAGGTCATTCTCTTTAGAGAAATCTCAAAGACAATGGCAGGCTTTTGGATTAAAACATTTTCTCAGTGATTTTGGAAGCAAACTTGTTTTCAGTGTTTACAGAAGGGCCAGAGGTGAAACCATTAGCAGCACCTGCCTTTTTAGTGTCTTCTATACCAGGAATTCCAGGTACCTGGAGCTCAAAGTAAAAGCTCTAAAGTACATAGGATTCTCCCAGGCACTGTGCTGGTTCTTGCACATGCTGGTAAATATCTGAGTTTCTATGCTTATGACTGACAAATGAAATGACAAAAACATCACAAAAACTATATATTTTGATACTACTCTGCTAAGCTTATGAATAAGACACAGACTGATTATTTGAAACACTACCTTTTCATGTTTCTACATTTTTTAAATTGACAGATAAAATTATATGTATTGTCATGTAAAATGTGGTTTAAAGCATGCATACATTGTGTAATATTAAATTCTGGCTAATTAACAAGTGCTTTACCTCATATAGTTATCATTTTTGTGATGGAGAACACTTAACATTGACTATATCAGTATTTTTAAAACATAACAGTATGTCATCATTAACTATAGTCACCAGGCTTTACAACAGATTTTTTTAACTTATTCCTTTAATCTAACTAATTATATATTCTTTGAAAGACATCTACCCAATCCCCTTCCAAAATATCTTAGCCTCTCGTTCCACTATTTTAGTCTCTACTTCAATGCGATCAATTTTTTAAAATTCCACATATGAGCAAAATCATGAGGTATTTGTCTTTCTGTGTCTGCATTATTTCAATTAACATAATCTCCTTCATGTTCATCCATGTAATTGAAAATGACAGTATTTTCTATTTTAAGGCTGAATAATAATCCATTCGTACAGAATGGATGTATGCCACATGTTCTTTATCATTTTATTTGATAATAAACCCTGAGTTTGATTTTATATCTTGGCTATTGTGAATAGTGCTGCAATAAACATAACAGCACAGATGTCTCTTTCACATACTTGATTTTTTTGATATGTGCCCAATAATGATATTGCTGTATCATATGATAGTTCAGCTTTTAATGTTTGAGAAATCTCCATACTGTTTTGTATAATGGCTACGCTGATTTACATTCAGTGCGCAAGCATTCCCTTTGCTCCACATCTTTGCCAATAATTATTTTTTTGGCTTTTTATTAATAGTCATTCTAACAGTAGTGAGTTGTTATCTAATAGAGGTTTAGATTAGTCCTAACCTTAGATTAGCCTTAACCTTAGATTAGCCTTATGATAAGTTACCTCGCATTTTTTTCATATATTTTTTACCATTTGTATGTCTTCCTTTAAGAAATGTTTATTTACATCTTTCACCCATTTTAATAGTTACTTGTTTATTGTTCTATAGTTGTTTGAGTTTCCTGTCTATTTTGGATAGTAACCCTTTGTCAGATATATAACTCATAAATATTTTCTCTTATTTATACGTTATTTTTCTTCTGTTGGTTGTACCTAGTGCTGTGTAGAAGCTTTTCAGTTTTCAAGTAATCTCATTTGTCTACTTCCACTTTTGTTTGCTGGGATTTTGAGGTGAAATAAATAAGAAAAAATTATTGTCCCCACCAATGTCATGGAGCTTTCACTCTGTTTTTTGTAGCAGTTCCAGAGTTTTGAGTCTTTGATTTATGTTGGTGGAGGGTCTCATTTCATTGTTCTGCCTGGAGATACTCAGTTTTCATAACACCACTTTTGAAGTAACTGTCCTTTCCCCACTGTGTGTTCTTGTCACCTTTGTGTAAGATCCTGAAATTTTATGAATTTGTTTCTGGGCTCTGCATTCTGCTTTATTCACCTATGTTTCTCTTTTTAAACCAGTTATCATACTGTATCAATTCCTAAAGCTTTGTAGTGTATTTCAAAGGTAGTGTAATGCTTCCAGCTGTATTATTTGTGCTTAATTTCTGTTGCTGTTTAGTGTTTTTGTGATGCCATATGAACTTTAGAATTTTTGAAATATTCTAAATAATTTCATTTGTATACAGATAAGAGACTGCTTTGAATCTGTAGATTGTTTTGCTCAGTGTAGACATTTTAACAGTATTAATTCTGCCAATCAATGAACCAGAAATATCTTTCCATTTATTTGTGATTTAGAAAGTTTTTCTACTCAGTGTTTTTTAATTTTAATATAGAAATCTTTCACCATTTTGGTTACATTTATGAGTAAACTTTTTGTAGTTATTATAAATAAAATTGTTTACTTGACTTTTTCAGGTAGTTTATAGTTCATGTATAGAAATTCTGGCATTTTGAATTGGTTTAAATTTTTTATTTTTGTGGGTACTTAGTTGGAGATATATTGATGTGATATATGAGATACTTTAATACAGGCATAGAAAGAAATAATCACATCATGGAAAATGGGGTATCCATCATCCCCTCAGGCATTTATTCTTTGTGTTACAACCAATCTAATTTTACTTTTTTCGTTATTATAAAATGTACAATTAAAATTATTATTGACTATAGTTACCCAGATGTACTATCAAACACTAGGTCTTACTAATTCTTTCTTTTTTTTTGTACTCATTAACCATCCCTACCGTCCCCTACATTCCCCACTGCCCTTCCCAGCCTCTGGCAACTACCTCTACCTACATGAGTTATATTGTTTTGATTTTTAGCTCCGACAAATAAGTGAGAACATGGAAAGTTTGTTTTTCTGTGCCTGGCTTATTTCACTTAATCTATGGTTCCATCAATGTTGTTGCAAATAATAGGATCTTATTTTTTATGGCTAAATAGTATTCCATTGTGTATATGTGCCATGTTTTCTTTATCCAGTCATTTCTTGATGGACATCAGGTTACTTCCAAATATTGGCTGGAGCACACTGCTGTAACAAACATGGGAGGGTAGATATCTCTTCAATGTATGGATTTCCTTTCTAGTAAGTGAATCCTCAGGAGTGGCATTCCTGAATTATATGGTAGCTTTATTTTTAGTTGTTTTGAAGAATTTTCAAAATGTTACATTCCTGTCAACAGCATACAAGGGCTCCCTTTCTCCACTTCTCTCCAGCATTTGTTACTGCCTACCTTTTGGATATAAGCCATTTAACTGAGTCACGTAATATCTCATTGTAGTTTTGATTTGCATTTGTCTGATGATCAAAAATGTTGAGCACCTTTTCGTATGCCTGTCTGCCCTTTGTACGTCTTATGAAAAATGCCTATTCAAATATTTTGTTTATTGTTTATCAGATTATTAAATTTTGTACATTGAAAGATTTTACTGTGAATAGTTGACGAAAATTGGTTAAGTCCATTAAGACATGCTTCCTGCCCCTCACAACTCACCCACGCTGTTCTAGTCTCTCCGTAAGTGTCAATTCTGAAGGCCACAACTTCCATAACTTCCATATCTTCTCAGTATTACATTTCAAGATGAATATATTGTGCTTTACTCTGGCAACATGTCTTCCATAAAATGAGAATACACATCTGGGAAAAGGGAAAATAAATTACCTCACTTATTAGATTCAGGTGAGTACGTGTTAGAAACCTAATGTATAAAGTTATGTCAAGCACATTAGCAAAATGACACAATAAAAATCATAGGCCCTAATTTCTTCATATACATATACACTTAACAAAAATATCCTGAACAAAATTCCATTGTGATAAGTTTAAAAATCAAGAGTTTGCAGCACCCCAGGCAAGCAGAATGCCAAAAGCCAAATAGTAGAGGAAGGAAAATTTGTTGCATTTACCCACCACAGCCCTTCTTCCTCTCCAATGCAGCATGATGCTTATAGAAGTAAACTTCTGACTTCTTTCTGAAGAAAGAAAATAAACACACAATCCCAGAGTAGACACAGCCTGAGAACAGGCTTTAGAAACCTCCAGAATCTCTAGCCTGGTCAATTGGTGTCAGACTCCAAACCACTTTATAAAGACTGTGACAGCTTTCTGTTAATGCTCAAATCACAATGAAAGATGACAACAGAGTACCAGAGTAACATGGCCAAAAAAACACAATAAATTTCCAGATATGAACCCTAAAAAATTGAGATATACAAATTACTTGAAAATATTCAAAATAACCATCTAAATGATGCTCAGTGTATGAAATGGGAACATAGACAACTGAATGAAAGCAGCAAAATGAGAATATCACAAAAAATTATAAAAACCTTCAAAAATTATGGAGCTGAAGACTACAGTAAGTCATAAAGACAGAAATTCTCAAACAAAATACTTGTAAAATATCAAGAAGCTTAAATTACTTTGGCTAAGATAAACACAAAGTTACTCATAACAAGACAGATTATAAGCAAAATTTTAAAAGTCGTAGGCAAAAGGAATCTTGGAAGCAAGCAGTAAGATAAACCTGTTGTGTCATCTATAGCATGCTTCATTGAGATTTGCAGTGGATTTATCAACACAGTCCTTGCAGGCCAGAAAAAAAGTTAAGTGATATAGTCAAAGTGCTGAAACAAAAACTTTCAAAGCAAGAATACTATAACTAGGAAAATTCTTCAAAAAAAATTCCAAAGTAACAAAATGCAGTAAAAGTACATCACTAGTATATCTGCCTTACTGAAAATGCTTAGGGGTGTCTCTTCCACTGAAAATAAAATTCTAGAAAAAACCTACATTATATAAAAAACATATAACTCTCTAATAAAGACATGCACATAACAGGAAATTGTATTAAAATTATAATATAGAAAACAATTCTATTTTCAAAATTTGATAGACAAAAACATGAAAGTAGTTATAAACACAATATGACAATATAATTTGTGACTTACAAAGTTGAGAGCAGACATACTGAAAAAAACTATGCATCTGAATATCTTACCAATTCAAAATATATTGTAATTTTAAGAAGATTTTTGTAATCTTCATGATAACCACAAATATTAGAGAAATACAACATAGAAATTGAGAAAGAAATCAGACCATATCACCAGAGAAATCAGTGAGACAGCAAGAAAGATGAAAAAGGAACAAAATGGCTACAATAATAAAACAATGATTAATATAATAATAGTAAGTTCCATTTCAGAATACTTTAAAAATATTAATGGACTAACTTTCCCAATCAAAAGACATATTTCATGAAGAGATTCTAAAAATTGTATTAACAGCATCAACTATATTCTGTGTACAAGAGAATCACTGGATCCAATCACAAAGATAGACTAAAAGCAGGATGGAAAAAGATATTCCATGCAAATGTTAGCCAAATGAGAGCAGAAGTAGTCACTGTGACAAAAGACTTTAAGTCAATCATTATCATATTTTATAAAATTTAATTCAAAACTACAGGATAAAAAAGACATTAAATAATACAAAGGTTCATTCATTGGAAACCTATAAAAATTGTATATGTTGTTTGTGTGTGGATTCCTGTGTGTGTGCTTATACCTGTATCTACATCTACATCACACATCAGGGTTTCCAGTTATACATCTATATCATACATCAGGGTTTCCAGTTTATAAAGCAAACATTGATGACATTGAAGCAAGAAATACACAGTGAACAGAAGACTTGAATACACTATAAAAATCAAATTCAACATGCGTAGAGAACACCTCATCCAACAAAATACACAATGTTTTCAATATTTCAGAAAATATTCTTGATAGAAGACGTTAGGCCATGAAACAAGTCTTAACACCTTTTTTTAAATTGAAATATTACTGCTTATTCTTTATAACCAAAATTGAATAAAATAGAAAATGAAACATTCACAAATATATGGGAGTTAAACAATACACCCTCGAACATGCTTTTCTTCAAGGGTGGGAATACTTAATATTATGAAGATGTCCAGACTACATAAAGTGGTCTACAGATTCAATACAGTCCTTTCCAAATTCTCAGTTTATTTTTGCAGAAATAAAAAAGCAACCCCAGAATTATACAGACTACAAAGAGACCAAGAAGACTCAACAATCTTGAAATATCAAGAACAATATCGGGGGTGTCACACCTCCTGATTTTGGAATACATTGTGAAGCTACAGTAGCTAAAGGAATTTGGTGCTGGCATAAATGCACACAACAAGAACAATAAAACAATAGAAAACTTAGAAATACAGCTACACATGTGTGGTCAAATGAGTTGTTTGCACACCCATGCAGCATTATTGACAAAAGCTGATAGGCTAAAGCAGCTTCAACTTTCTTAAATGAATAAATAAAATTTGGAATATAAAAATAGAATATTGCTCAGCTTTGCAAAATCAGCATATGTAACATATAAAATCAAAATCTTAACATGCTAAATAAAGGCAGTCACAACAAGACAGGTTGTCTGAATACACTTATATGGGATATCTAGAAACAAAAAATAATACTATATTTGACGGGCTGGGCGCGGTGGCTCACGCCTGTAATCCCAGCACTTTGGGAGGCTGAGGCAGGCCAATCACCTGAGGTCAGGAGTTCAAGACCCAGGCCTGGCCAACATGGTGAAACCCTGTCTACTAAAAATTTAAAAATTAGCTGGGCATGGTGGTGCACGCCTGAAATCCCAGCTACTTGGGAGGCTATGGCAGGAGAATCGCTTGAACCTGGGAGGCAGAGGTTGCAGTGAGCCGAGATCATACCACTGCACTCCAGCCTGACAACAGAGCCAGACTCCGTCGAAAAAAAAAAAAAAAAATCAGCCCAGAGGAGAAATACACAAGATGAACCATAAACAAAGTTGGTGTTATATTTATAGAGACAACCATGCACATACATATGTATAATTTAACAGTGATAGACAGCTGGTTAATTCATCTTTGAATTAAACCCCACCTTGATTTAAAGTATATATACAGAGTTGCAAATTGTCATTCAAAATTATAATACATAGGTAAAACAGAAACACAATAAACTGCCTATAAATGTATCCTTACTAAAAACACAGTAATTAGGAATTGCAAGACAAGATAAACATTTACCTATAAAATTCTGTATGCAACATTGATATATCATTATAACACCTTTTTCTAGGTAACTACCGAGTTCACCTGTGATTGTGCACCTATGGAGCGCACATACTTGGAATCATTGATGTCTACTGTATGGCAGTAAAATTTTACAGAAAATGCACTACAGACATTAAGAAAATGCTCTAGTAAAATTTTTTTAATGATTATGTAAAGACAGTAAAGATAATGTGTTACTATTAATATATTGATGCTATTTTCACAGAAAATAAAAAGGCTGCAATTCACTCTTTAGAAGCAAAGAAAAGCATTAGACTTTGAAATAAAGTAAAACCATGTATGTTGTAAAATATGAGTTATATACAATGCAAATATTTTGAAATAATTTTTTGTAATTTATCATTTAGATATAGGTTGAGAAAACAAAAATGTTAATGATTCCTATATGATTTCAGTTAACTGTAACGTACAAATGAACATTTTAATAAATAGGGAGTGCCTGTCTGATTTACTTCTTACATGGTGTGGAAATTATAGCATATTGTTCTGAATGAATCTAAAATAACAGACAAATTTGTAATACAGCAAAATACAAAGTGAAACCATATAAGGAGAGTGACATCAGCAAGGATGTTGGAATAAGGGGATCACTCTTGTTTATCTTCCCACAGCTACAATACTTTTGCAGCCATCCATGGACAAAAGTGCCTTTATGGGAGCTTTGGGATTAGAGAGGGCATTATGATACCCTGTGAAAAACAAAGACTGAGGAGGGCTGTTTTGGGAAGGCAGGCCCTCATTCAGGGGGCAAATCTGAGAACCCCTGATCTTGTCTACAGACTAGGAATTGACCCATCCTACTCAGTCACACTGAGAATCCTGAAGTGACTCTGTAACCATCTCCAATGCCTCCCAGTTATGGTCTGGAATTAGTCCTTCCCATACAGAGAACTGGGGAGAGACATTCATGATAATGGAGGCAGACCTACAGAATTTAACCTTTCACCTTTACTGTGGCCTCTGAAGCAGGTCTGTGACTCAGTTTCAGCCCTCTTCACCATAGTTTATAGACAGTTCTGCCCACCTAGAGACCCACAAAGGGAGAGAAAACCCTCTCAGGTACTCAGCAGAAGTCACACTTCATCCACACACCTACTATCAGGGCCGCCATATGCAAACCCAGCTTCAGAACCCTGGCCCTGGCATCTGCCCTACAGATCAAAGTTCTGAAAGCAGTTGAGTCTGCTCGAAATAAGAGGAGTCACAATGAAGCCACCTTGTGCCCAATTTTAATGCTTCTATTTTAACATACTAGTAGTCCTAAGTAGAACAATTTGGGGAAAAATATTTTAAAGCCATCTAAATTGAAAAAATGTCACTTTTTGTAGATGACATGATCTTATATACAAAAACCATAAATAGTACACCAAAAACCTATTTAAACTAATAAATGCACTCAATGAATTTTCAGAATATAAAAACAGCATACAAATCTCAATTGTGTTTTTATACCCTAACAACAAACTATCCAATTAAAAGGAAGAAAATGATTTCATTTAAAATAAAATAAAAAACAATAAATTTCTTAGGAACAAATTTAACAACTAAGGTGAAAGATCTTTATGCTGAAAAATAAAATATTGATAAAGGAAACTGGAGAAGACAAAAAATGTAAAGCTATCATAGATTGGAGGAGTAAATATTGTTAAAATTCTACATTATCCAAAATGATCTATAGATTTAATAAACTCCCTATAAAAATTCCAATAACTTGTTTCACAGTAATAGAAAATACAAGCTTAAAATTTATGTGAAATTACAACAGACTTTGAATAGCTAAAGCAATCTTGAGGAAGAAGAAAGCTAAGGATATTATAGTTTCTGATCTTTTTTTTTTTTTTTTTTGAGATGGAGTCTCACTCTGTCACCCAGGTTGGAGTGCAATGGTACGATCTCAGCTCACTGCAACCTCTGCCTCCCAGGTTCAAGTGATTTTCCTACATCAGTCTCCTGAGTAGCTGGGAATACAGGTGCTCGCCACCATGCCCGGCTAATTTTTATATTTTTAGTAGAGACGAGATTTCACCATGTTGGTCAGGCTGGTCTCTAACTCCTGACCTCATGATCCACCCACCTCGGCCTCCCAAAGTACTGGGATTACAGGTGTGTGAGCCACCGCACCCGCCCCTATAGTTTCTGATTTTAAATTATATTCAATACTATAGTAATAAAAACAAGACAGCATGTGCATAAAAATGAACACGAAAACCTACAGAACAAAGTAGAGAGCCTAGAAAAAAAAACCTATGCCTATAAAATCAATTAATCTTGAACAAGGATATTGAAAATGCACAATGCAGTAAGTGAAATCCCTTTATTATTTGGAGCTAAGAAAATTGGGTATCCACAAGCAAAAGAATAAAATTAGATGATTTTTCTTACATCATATCCCAAAATTAACTCAAAATAAGGACAAATAAAACACATGAATTCTTAAAAATCCTAAAAGAAAACAAAATGTGGTCAACCTCCTTTATATTGGTCTTGACAGTATTTTTTTGGATCTGACACAAAAAGTGCGCCACAAAGGCAAATATAAAAAAGTTGGACTACATCAAACTAAAAAACTTATAAACAGAAAACAATAAGAAAACTTACAGGTTGGGAGAAAATATTTGCAAACCACTGTTAAGTGGTTAATATCCAAAATATGTAAGGAACTCATACAAATAAAAAACCAAAACAACAATAATAATGACAGTAATGATAACATGATTAAAAGACAGGTAAAGAAATATTTTTTTAGTGAAGACGTAAACTAAGAGTATTTGAAAAGCTGCTCAACATCTTCAATCATGAAGCAAATACAAATAGAAACAATGATGACATATCATTTCACACTTGTTAGGATGGCTAATATCAAAATTCAGAGACATGTATGTTATTCTGATGATGGATACCCTAAAAGCCCTGACTTCACCACCATGCAGTCTATCCATGTCACAGCCCTTGAACTGGGACACATTTACCTGAAAACCAGCCATTTCATCTTCTTTCTCTTTCTTCTCTGAGTTTTTGTCAGGTGAGATTCTCTGGACAAGTCATGGCTGTATGTTGATAATATGCCTTAAAAAGCATCAGTACAACCCCTTTACTTGCTACGACTACAGCTACAGGGAGAAGGAACTAGAAGTGCAAAAAAGTCCACTCTTCCCTGTCCTTTATCCCAGGAGAGAGTCAGGAACAATGAGCTCCTACATAAAGATCAAAATGTGTTTCTCATTTCCTGCTTTCAAGTGTCCTCTCCTATCAAAGACTCAAGCAACTTTTGCTGCAGCAACTGGACTATGGGCTGCACTAACCACCGTATCAAATCCAAGCAGAGCAGATCCTGTGACCTGGAGAAAGGAGCCGGCTGTCCTTCCCTGCTGTAACCTAGAGAAAGGAAGCTGGCTGTCCTTCCCTGGCACAGCTGCATGCAAGGAATTTTCCACCACGCTCACCGGGCAGTAAGTTGAAACATAAAAAGATTAACAAGTTGGCTTATTTTTACTTCTACTCAGAGTGCAGAGTCATCGTAATTTATTGTTTTCTATGTCTCAAATACTCTGCTTTATTTTATTTTATTTTATTTTATTTTATTTTATTTTATTTTTGAGATGGAGTCTCGTTCTGTTGCCAGGCTGGAGTGCAATGGTGCAATCTCAGCTCACTGCAGCCTCCGCCTCCCGGGTTCAAGCAATTCTGCCTCAGCCTCCCGAGTAGCTGGGACTACAGGCGCACGCCAGCACGTCCAGCTAATTTTGGCATTTTTAGTAGAGATGGGGTTTCAACATGTTGGCCAGGATGGTCTCGATCTCTTGATCTCGTAATCCGCCGCCTTGGCCTCCCAAAGTGCTGGGATTACAGGCGTGAGCACTGCGCCCAACCTGTTTTATTTTTTAGTATGTTATCAAATGAAACATTAGTCCAATTATTAAAATAAATGCTTTAGTTGTCTGAGCAACTGTATTTTGTATCTGTCAAATCCACAAGCCTAACAATTTTACCTTTCTGAAATATCTACCACGTGTTCAAAGTCAGCACGCTACTCCTAGTTCTGCAAGGCACTGAAAGTACATAGAAAGAAAGAGGGGGGAAGCACATTTAAGAAACAGGTTTTCTGCAGGATCACAAGGGTATAACAATTGCCTATAACGGTGTGGCTACTTTCTCCGCATTCAGTCCCCGTGACGAAATAACTACTGCATTTGTGGAAGTCTCTAGGCTGGGTGCTGGACCCTAATTAATGCATTTGAAATCCAGGCCTACACTGTCCCTGGGCTCAGCGACTAACCTTAGTAGAAGCACACATTTCTCAATATGCACATAAGGCAAATAGGTGCTCACGGCAGCCAAACAGAATGCTTTGAAAAGCATTTTCCCAATGAGCCCCCCCGCCAGCCCAAACCCCCGCAAACTCCGGAATTAGGAGACATAACAGGTACTTCCACCTCAGAAGCCAAAGCCCTCTGCGACTCCTGCCAAGAAGGGCAGGTTGCCATGCGTGGGTCGGCTGGGCGCGTCCTGGGGCTGGTCTGCCTGACCCGGACAAAACCAGGCGGCGAGCACGCAGCGCTGCATGCGGGAAACCGGAGCTGCGCCTCCTGCCGCCCCTCAGTCGCTAGGCAGGAACCCCAGGAGAGGCTACGGTCCCCTGACCTCCACAGAGGCTCGCCAGGGCCGGCGCGCAGGGGCAGGTGGGCGCGGGGGCTCCTGCGGCGCCGCAGCCTGGGCCTCCCCTGGCACCCGTGGTCGGCCATCCGCCGCGTCCGCAGCGGCGCGCCGAGCCTCTCCAGTTCGCTGGCCCTCCCCGGCTCGCTCCCGGCTTTCGCAGACCTCCCCCGCTCCTGCCGTGAGTCCGAGCAGAGCGCAACGCCAGCCGGCGCCTTCCTCCTGTGCTGGGAGCGAGTGGTGCAGCAGCGGCTCGAAGTCCCCCGGCCTCAAGCAGCCCCCGCGACTAGCGCGACACCCTCGCGGGATCCGAGTCCACCCTGCCACCAGCGCCGGGACGCCGCGTGCCTCAGAGCCCAAGGGCTGACCCGGGCCTTCCAGGTGGTCCATCTCGCTCCTACGGCTCCCGACAGTGGCGCTGGGTGTCCCCCATCCCGCAATTCCTACCGGCTGACCCATGTGCGCTGCGCCCAGGTACCCCGCCGGGCAGGGCTGAGCAGCCCGGACCCCGCGCTCTCCTGCGCCCAGATTCAGCGCTGCAGTCGCCAGGGAAAGTTTGCGCTCCGGACTGGCCGCGGCGCCCCGCCTGCTCTGCACCTCTCCTGGCCCACCACGCAGCCCGCGATTCGGGATCCCAGAGGAGAGGGGTGCGGGCTGAGCCGGGGCCACGAGTCCTCTCCCGCGCTCCCGCCCTTTTACCTCACTGTCCCGCCGGGCGCACGCAGAGCTCACCTTGCGTGCCGGCCGGTGGAGGCGAGCCATAGGTGACGGTGCATCCTCCTTCTCCGCCTGCTCTCGCCCGGCTGGCAGGGGCTGGAGGCTGCCAGCGCCAACCTTCCCGGCGCTCCGGGGCGGAGCAGCTCCTGCGCCCTGCGCTACCGCAGCGGCCCTTCAGTCAGCTCCGCGCCGTCCCCAGCAGAGCCCCCGGCGCACCAGCGCCTGCTTTTCCTTCCCCGAGCGCCTCAAGCAGTCTCTGGGCCGCAGGAACAGCCCTCTGAAGAGGCGCTTGGGTAGAGGCCACCAGACACTCAGCAAACGCGCCCTCGGCCCCGCTCGGCTGAGCGGGAGGGCGCAGGGCCCGCGGCTGGACCTGCAAGGGGAGTTCCGGTTCTGCTGAAGTTTCTTTAGGGCCTTCAGCAGCGTCTTCGGCGCCTCCTGTAGTCGCCGCTGTCCTCTTGTAGTGCAGGGATGGGAGGGCAGGGTCAGGAGCCCGGCAACAGAGGCCAGTTTCAAGAGCTTTGCTCCCCTAGGGCCGGCCCCCCCTCCCTGCCCAGGCCTGGGTCCCTCCCGGGTGCTCTGAGGCACCCCCGGACATGCGCATGTCTTAGTCGCTCCTGAAAGAAATTGGCTTGTTGTGGGCACTCTTTTCATCTCATTCATAGACAGGAGTGCATTGCTGCCGGACGGAAAGCCAGGGTCACATGGGACTCCATTAGAATGAAACCCTTACCTAATGCAGTATATATTTGGGGGTTTTCTGAAGTTCCATTTCTTAGCAAGAAGCCTCGGTGACAACGGGAAAGGGCCAGGGGCCAGGGGCCGCAGGTCCGAGAGCAGGTCTGGGGTGGCGCATCTGGGGTGGCGGGGCGGGATTTCCCTAGCAGGGCTTCCACGCCACGTTGGGCACTGCCTCATTAGCCACGCACATGGGGTCTTACTATGGTCATTACATAGGTGTCTTGTCCGTCCGAGTGATGCAGTTCCTGGGAGGTGAGGGTGGCGTTAATGACAGCTGGGTGGCAGCAGGGCCCCTTCAAACAACACAAGCAAGATGGGGCCAAAGCAGCACAGCCCATCGTCTCGGGGTTTCGGGGTCTTGCTTCCTCAGGAGGTGGGGGCCTCTCGACTGTAACACCCAGTGGAAAACGTTCAAGACTTACAGGAAAGCCACCAGAACATGATGGGGAGGTTTATTTACACCACTGTCCCCTTCCTTTTGTGAAACTGCATTGTTTATATTCTCTTTTAACAGAGTCATGGTAAGAAAAGGCAAATTCTTAACTCTCCTCCAGGAAAGATCTTTGACCTTCCAGTGTAGGAAGCCTCTCAGTTTTCCAGTTACACCTAATACAGTGTATTCCAAATCTAAGTTACCCACTAGTACTTCGGCACATTCCAGAAATTCTGAAATTTTCTGAAAAGGAAACTGGTAAGTCTATTCCAGGAGCGGGACATAAGTGTATAAATGTGCAAATATACAGGAAGCATTACTCTGAATACGCGTTTAGCCACATTATTAAATAACTGTTTCCAGTGGTTCTTCACAATATATGAATAAGATGCTCATTTGAAAGACTTTTTAAATTCTAAAATGGATCATTGAACACGTGCATTTCTTCATTTTCTAATCTCTCAAAAGATGTATCACTAAGGTGAAATTCCTTGGTAGTCATTAAATTTTAAAAAGTTAACAACATGGTTTTATGATCAGCCTACTATAATTTTCACCTATTAGGTGGTGGAATTCTAGGCTTAGAATTACCAGCGACAGCTGCTCGCCTCTCAGGATTAAACAGCATAATGCAAATCAAAGAGTTTGAAGAATTGGTAAAACTTCACAGCTTGTCACACAAAGTCATTCAGTGTGTGTTTGCAAAGAAAAAAAATGTAGACAAATGGGATGACTTTTGTCTTAGTGAGGGTTATGGACATTCATTCTTAATAATGAAAGAAATGTCGACTGTGAGTATGTTCTTTTGGTGGATTATGTTTAAAACTTCCATGTTTTTTGGTACACTTTCTATCAGTTTTATGTCAACACAACACATATCATCTTGGTAAGAATTTCATTTTCAGTGTCAGAGCCTAAAATAGCTGGAGGTGGAGAAGCATGAGTGGAACATGTGCCAGAGAGCGCCCACCCTGTCCCCCAGTCAGGGGCAGGAACTGAGATGGGTGGGTGTGTTTGCATGGGTGGGTGTGGCAGAGGTGGCTGAAACGTGAATGCAGTGTCATCCTATAAGTGAGACAATGTGTTATTCGTCTTTCTGTGCTTGGCTTATTTCACCAAGCATGTTCTCCAAGTCCATCCATGCTGTCAAAAATGGCAGGATTTTTTTATTCATTAATGCTAAATAATATCCCACTGTGTGTGTGTGTGTGTGTGTGTGTGTGTGTATTTTTTTTCATTTCTTTATCCATTTATCCATTGACAGACATTTAGGTTGTTTCTATTACTTGGCTATTGTTAAAAATGCCCAAATGGACATAACAGTGCAGGTATGTTTTCCAGATATTGATTTTATTTCCTTTGGCTATATCCCCAAAGAAATGGGATTGCTGGGTATAGAGTGGTTGCCAGGGGCTGGGGGAAGGAGAGATGGGCAGATGTTGGTCAAAGGGTATAAAATTTCAGTTATGCAAGATGAATAAGTTCTGGAGATCTACTGTTCAACATTGTGAATATAGCTAACAACACTGCGATGTATACTTGACATTTGCTGAGGAGGTAGATCTTATTGTTCTCACCACACACATGAAAGAGGGCAGCTCTGCGAGGTGATGGGAATGTGAATGAGTTTGATTTTGATGGCAAAGTATACATATATTAGTCATCAAACTGAACACCTTAGAAACCAGATTTTACATCAATGAATGGTTGAATGAATAGATCTGCACTTCTGGATTTCTTTAAAAATGGGAAGACACTCCATAGCTTTAGCAACGCTGGGCACCCACCCATTCCCACCCTCCTGCACCGCCTGCATTCCACAGATACCTGACATGGGTCCTTAGAGGAACGTGATCTATCCTTTTTCACACTTTGCCTCCTTTGTGTAATTAGGAAAATCGAGGCAAATGGGGCTTTTTAAAGGATTTTAATTTTTTTCTAATTTCATTGTATCTATTTTGTCTTCACTAGTGGCTTATTTACTGTATCTGTATTTTACCTTATTTTATTTTGTGATGGCTCTAGGGTTACAGCCAGCATCTTTAACTTAGTATAGCCTACCTTTATTTTGTTTATTTATTTATTTATTTATTTTTGAGAAAGAGTCTTGCTCTGTCACCCAGGCTGGAGTGCAGTGGTGCGATCTCGGCTCACTGCAAGCTCCGCCTGCTGAGTTCAAGCCATTCTCCCCCTCAGCCTCCCCAGTAGCTGGGACTACAGGCACTCACCACCATGCCCAGCTAATTTATTTTATTTTATTTTATTTTATTTTTATTTTTATTTTTATTTTTATTTTTAGTAGAGTTGGGTTTCACCGTGTTAGCCAGGACGGTCTCGATCTCCTGACCTCATGATCCACCCGCCTCAGCCTCCCAAATTGCTGGGATTACAGGCACTAGCCACTGCACCTGGCTGAGGACATGTCTTTGAAAAGGTAGCATAACTCCTATTTCTAGCTGCTCTTGCAACTAAAAGTGGCTGTGTACAGAATAACTCTATTCCTCTATATCCAGTTTGGACAAACCAACTTTCCATTGATTTAAGCACACTTTCAGAATAAAGCGTAATTTCTTATCTCAGGAATTCCAAAGTCTAATGGAAGAAGCAAGCTTATACTGAATAATTTAGCAAAGCAGATTGTGCTTGGCAATAATAAAGTAATTCAATATCTGAAACATAAGAAAAGAAGGAAATATCTGTTTCATAGTTGTAATTAATTAGAACTTTACCATGCAGAATAGGTAGAGAGGCATTCCTCAAAAGATTAAGAGAGGTATAAAGTAAATGTAAATGTCAACCATAGGGGTTTTCTTAGGCAGAGAATCATGCTTTAGGGTAAATGAAGGTGATGCTGGTATTCAGGTTCCTTTGGAGAAGGCAACAATAAAAGTAGAGTTATCATTTATGAGATCCAAGAAGCCCAAGAAAAGATAATAAGAGCCCAAGCCACAGCAGGCTCAGCCTTTTTTTCCTAAATAAAAAGGAACGAATAGCTAAATGTGACAAAAGTCAAGGTATCTTTTAAGAAAGTTACACTTCCTCTGAACCACAACAGAAATCAAAGATAGTCACCCTACAGCACTCCTTGCCTCTCTTCCAAGGATACAGCTATGTATTGTTTTTTAAAAAAGGTAAAGGTAAAGAGACATGGTCACTTGACCATGTCTCTATCCAAGGTGAATTTCTCCAAAAGCACAACTTTGGGACACTTGTATGAGATATAGTTTAAACCCCACTGAATTTGATTTCTCACCCTCCCAGACACTTACCTTTATTATTTTCTCATATTTGTTTGCTTTTGTTTCCTTAATATAGTCTAGGAAATGTATCTGTGGGCTGTCCTACAGGAGAAGTTACAATGAATGGAAAAATGTGAAGAACCTTCTATTCTCCCAAGAGTATATGGCAAAGAGGGTGCAATTGCACCCAAAATATCAGTGTGGAAGGGTCACATAACTGATACTATAAAGTAACACATTGTCTTACAGAATTCTCATTCTTAGGCTAAAATATTATCTTCTTCATCAAACTTACTTGACTGCATGTTTGATGTTGTTTGAGTAAAATATAATACTCTTTTATTTCCCAAATGCACACACACACACACACACACACACACACACACACACACACACACACATATTATATTATGTTTTGGGAAATATATGTGCTATAGTATCTATATTTATTCACTTCTTAAATTTGAACTTAATTAAAATGACAAAATGAATTTGCTGAAAGGAGTTGGTAAAATGATCAGCTGTATTCAGTCACATAACTATTGTTTAGTCTTAGTAATGAAAATAGAAAAAAAAAACCAGCCAGGTGCAGTGGCTCACGCCTGTAATCCCAGCACTCTGGGAGGCCAAGGTGGGTGGATCGCCTGAGGTCGGGAGTTCGAGACCAGCCTGGCCAACATGGTGAAACCTCATCTCTACCAACAATACAAAAATTAGCTGGGCGTGGTGGCACGCACCTGTAACCAGCTACTTGAGAAGCTCAGGTAAGAGAATCTCTTGAACCTGGGAGGCGGTGCTTGCAGTAAGCCGAGATTGTGCTACTGCACTCCAGCCTGGGTGACAGAGTGAGACGCCACCTCAGTCAAAAAAAAAAAGAAAAATGAATATAGAAAAAAACGACAGACGCTAAAAGCTAAGAAAATAGTGTGTTCATTTTGGAATCTAATTCAAAATTCATTATAATGAATTTTAACGGGCCACCAAAGGTATGTGTTGAAGTTCACTGAATATTATTCAATGTTTGAGAATTACTGACAGCACATATATTTCATTTGTAGCAATGTTTGATTTGTTTTGCATCCATATATTTGCATTTATTTAAAACAAAAAACATCAAAGTATATTTCATCTGTTATTTGGAAAAAACATTGAGTAACTAATTGTCCAAATATAGCTATTTTCTAATTTTTAATTAAAAATGCTTCCTGTTTAAAAAAGTAACTTATTTCAAAATAACTGACATTTAATGTATTTACATTTTTTAAAGTGTTCACGCACATCTATTTAATTTCTAGATGTCTTGAAGGAATCGTCACTGTATCTGGAAGCCAGATGCCAAAGATGTTCAGTTATTATCAATGCATCTATGCATAAAGGATTGAAAATGATTCTTCATTCCATAATTTATCTAAATGTTCATTCCTTTGGAAAACTGTTTTCCACCAATAGTGACAAGACTTGGAACAAAATAAAATAGCAATATCATATGCATTTTCTATTTCTGCACTTTTCCACTTCTGGAAATAGTCATAGAATCATCTTGTGACAGATTAATATCATCCATGATCCTAAGCCACTAAGAATAAGTGTTAGATTCTTTGGGTTAAATTGCCATAAGGACTAAATTTATTTTTTTAACCAATTCCCTAAAGAATCAACTGATATTTCTGACATAGTTTTACAGCATATGTATCACCTCTCCATCCATTTTGCCTTAATTCTATTTCTTTTTATCCTTCACTGGTGAGGATGAGAAAACCTGGATGCATATGGGTATGGTTGATTTGAAAAGTACTTTTTAAACATTTGGAAGTTTTTCAAAACCAAAAACATATTTGCCAAGTGATCTTTTTCCCCTATATTTTAAATCCATGTGCAACTTAAAAGAAACTTAGACCATATGCTAGTTCAGATTCACTTATATTAAAATCATGAAAATTTTATTTAATAGCTCTTTGACACACAGGGAGTGTTTAAATTAAGCTTCTCTAAATTTTACATTTCTCAAAATACACTCTCTTTCCTATCTACCCTCAACTACTCCTCACTACTCTCCAAGAAAATATCAGGTTTAATTCAGGAGATGTAAGTTGGATGTTGTCAGTCCATCAACAATGATTAAGTAATTTAAAAAGCATTCTTTTCTTCACTTCTTCCCTAGATTTTTTGTTTCTTTGTTCGTTTAAATATCTCTGTGCAAGTTCTGAACAGTTTTATTTATATCAGGATCAATAATCTGAGGAATGAAATAAATTGTTGCATTTGTTGCAATAAATGAGTTTATGCTTCCTTTACAGAACATTAAGGACATGAACTTTTAAGAACATTTTAATGTTTCACTATAAATGATACTTGAGCCTTGCATTAGAATACATAAGGTAAACTTATATAAAGAAAAAATAAAAATCTTCTCCTTCTCATCTGCATTTGCAATCCCACATGCACTGAAGTAATCAATGTTAATGGTTTTCTGTCCATTCGGCCACACCTCTAATGGATGGAATTTATGTAGTGTAATTCTTTGTCAGGTACAACTACACATGAGTAAAACTAGGTGTGATTTAGAACTCAAGATTAGGATTTTTATCTAGTAGTGAAATGGGAAGGGAAAAGCAAAAGTAAAATATACATCAACTAATGGCAGAATGGTGTACAGAAGGGAGTCATCTGTATATATGACATCTGATGGCCCCGCCACTCAGCTAACCCATCCACACATGAAATAATAAGTAGACAAGTGCATTGAAAATTGTAAGTGTGACAGAAAGGTCACCACTTGATTGCTACTATTATATCGTTTTATTATTTTGTTCTCCCAACAATGTATAGCTCAAATTTATACTACAGGCTGTTCATATCCCTTAACAAAATATCCATTAATTTATGAATTTGATAAAATTCTAACTTACTGCAGTGCCCTACAAATAATAGTTTGGCCCATCTGTGGTGATGACTGTTCTGGAAGATCTTTCTGATGTTGAATAACTAATATTGTGTTTCAATGTTACTATTAGGTTGGTGCAAAAATAATTGCGATTTTTGCCATTAATCACAACTACATTTGCGCAAACCTAATAGTAATTTAACATTCTGTATCTAACATTTGTGGACACTGATCGAATATGCAATATTCTGGGGAGAAGTTGGTGGAAGAGATGTGTGTTGTTTTGTGAAAGATAGTATTCTGAGGGAAGGCAGAAAAGGGATATACATATAAGAAAATAGTGGATCTTGATCAGATGCACACTTGTTCCTATTTACAAGAAGTCTACTCTGTGTTACTGAACAAATCAACTTACATGAAGTCAACTAATTCCAAAGAATTTACCGTCTAGAGAAATTCACATTTGTAATAATAAATACTTTTCTTAATGACAGAAATTTTATAATATGTCTTTTTTACTTTATAGCTATAACCGTAGAGTTATAAAATCTAAATACAGACAAGCCTACCCAGTGTTTGATTATATTCAATGATGTTTAAAAGTAATGGCCTCTCTTTTGTTCTTACTGGGAAAATTATCATTAGCACAGTGCTTCATGCAGGCTCTTATTACTTCTATCTTCCATTGTTATGATTGGCAAAGCACAAAGCCATACTCAAATTGGAATGCTTGGGCACATTGCAGTATTTATCACAGGGTGGACTGGATACTGAGTTTCTTAATTTATAAATATTTCTTTCCAATGCAAAATTCATGAAGGCTTAATGTTGGGAAATGTCTGAATGGCTATAAATTCCCTTCCTAATTCCCTCCCCTCAATGCATACCCATTTTTTTTTGGCTCATTCTTAGAACTGTAGCTGTTCTTGAATCTTTGATGAGTTGAAGCTAATCCACATTCGGATTTTACAATCTCATATAATTGCCAAAATTCTACCCTTCAAAACACTTGTTTCTTTCTTTTTTTTCTCTTACATTTCCTCAAAGAAAATTAGTGAAAAAACAATTTTTTATTTGGTCTGAAACTTTATGGTGGAAATCTGAGGACAGGAAGAAATTTAGGGACTTGTTCATGCACTTTTGATTTGGCGAATGCCTGGAATATATTTTTTTCTCTCTGCACAATGCAAAGTAGTTGCACTCACAAAGTATCAATTAGAAAAAGAAATTCTTTCCACATTTCATCAGAGTTTTAAGTGGTTACACCACAATAATCCCCAGCTATTTGGGAAATGGTAAAAAAAAAAAAAAAACAACTTTGAAGATCAAGCCATCATTATTATTTTCACTAAAACCTAAAAATTCAGCCACAATATGTCAAACCAGTTGGGACAGGACTTCCTTCCACTAATTTAGTTTTTACTGCTGGATACCTGATGGGCTACTTACTATATCAGGTGTCTCATAGGGCAAATTGTACCTGGAGATAAAAAAAAGAAGAAAAAAACAGGCTCCAACCCCTAGCAGCAGAATACAGCAGAACATTTAGGTACCCACAGAACATAAACCAAAATGGACTGTATCCTGGATTTTAACAAACATTAAGAATTTTTTAAAAACTGAAATCCTGTAGAATGTATCCTCCAGCCAAAATGGCATCAAATTAAAAATAAAAAAGTAAAATAACAGCAGAATCTTAAATACTTGAAAAATAAACAGCATACTTTTTTAGTTCTTTTTTTTACATTTTTATTTATTTTAAGTTCTGGGGTAGGTGTGAAGGATGTGCAGGTTTGTTACATAGGTAAATTTGTGCCATGGTGGTTTTCCCTACCTATCAACCCATCACCTCGGTTTAAGCCCAGCATGCATTAGAGATTTTTCCCAATGCTCTCCCTCTCCCTCCCCCATCCACAGGCCCCAGTGTGTGTTGCTTACTTCCCTGTGTCCATGTGTTCTCATTGTTCAGCTCCTACTTATAAGTGAGAACATTAGATGTTTGGCTTTCTGTTTCTGCATTAGTTTCCTGAGGATAATGGCTTCCTGTTCCATCCATGTCCCTGCAATGAACATGATCTCCTTCATTTTTATGGGTGCATAGTATTCCATGTTGTATGGGTACTGCATTTTCTTCATCCAGTCTATTACCAATGGGCATTTAGGTTGATTCCATGTCTTTGCTATTGTGAATAGTGCTAAACAGCAAGCACACTTCTAAGGAGAACTTCTCAAGGGAAACAATTAAATATATTAAACTGAATAAAAATAAAAATACAACATATCAAACTTGATTTAACACAGTTGACGTCAGTGCTGAGAGGAAAATGTATTTCACTAAATATATATAATAGAAAAGTAGAAATCTCTCAAATAAAAATTCAAGCTATCACATCAAGAAAGTAGAAAATAGTAGCAAAATAAAATCAAAACAAATATAAGAAAGAATATAATAAGGATAAGAGCAGAAATAAATGAAACAGCCAAAAGAAAACAACAAAGAAAAGCAAAGAAATAAAGCTGGTTCTTTGAAAATATCTATAAAATTGACAAACCTTAACTAATAATGATAAAGAAAAAAGGGATGTCATAAATTACCAATTTCATGAATGAAATGGGCTAACATTAGCAGTAGAACTCAGCAATGTACACAAAGAATTACACAGCATGTCCCAGTGACGTTTACTCCAGTGACTGCACACCTAGACATTCATCCCACTGAAATAAAAACTTTTTTTTTGCACTTGCAATTGGCTTCCCCTCTGCTTTTGTTGGCAGGAGCAGGTCGGTGTCCCAGGCTTAGAATCCATTTTTCTCTCTCTCCGTCTGTCTCTCTGTCTCCGTCTCTGTCTTTGTCTCTGTCTCTCTCTCTCTCTCTTTCTTTTCTTTTTTTTTTTTTTTTTTTTTTTTTTTGAGACGGAGTCTCGCTCTGTCGCCCAGGCTGGAGTGCAGTGGTGCGATCTCGGGCTCACTGCAAGCTCCGCCTCCCAGGTTCACGCCATTCTCCTGCCTCCCGAGTAGCTGGGACTACAGGCGCCCACCACCATGCCCGCTAGTATTTTGTATTTTTAGTAGAGATGAGGTTTCACCGTGTTAGCCAGGATGGTCTTTATCTCCTGACCTTATGATCCACCCGCCTCAGCCTCCCAAAGTGCTGGGATTACACGCGTGAGCCACAGTGCCCGGCCAGAATGCATTTTTCCTCCCACACCAAAGCACCTGCAGTATGGGTGAAGCAGCCTGGAGCCTGGCTGCATAAGCCTGCACAGCAGGAGGGTCCCAGCAGGAGGGTAGAGGTGCCACTGCCTGGGTCCAGCTCACAGGCTGCCAGGGAGGCTCCGATCTGGCTCCCTGGTGCTGGCAGTGTCCTGTTCCCAGGATCTGCACGTGGGGGTGCCTTCCTGCATCTCCCCATCAGTGGTAGGTGCTCCTCCCAGCCCCCTCTTGCAGGCCTGGAGACAGCGGCCTGCACCTCAACCCTACTGCATGCCAGTGAAGCGAAGCACCCCGGGCCAGAAGCCCCACAGCTGTTGGCCCTGGTTTGGACACCAGGCAGGGGGCACCACAGCAGGAGCTAGCAGCCCAGCCCCGATTCTGTGGCCCCGAGTGCCCCGTTGCTGATGGCCCTGTGTTCTGGGTGCGGACCAAGGAGGAGCAGGTGTGGAAGGCGCCTCAGGCAGGCCCTGGGCTCCGTGGGCGTCTTGTGCTTGGAGATTTTGAGGCCATTTGCATCCAGCTCCGCCAACCAGAGCTCTAAGCTGCAGCGGCGGCCACCCGCAACAGCGCCACCACTAGTGTCTTGGGGGCTTTCTTCAGAGGAGGCTGTCAGCATCCTCGAGTTCCAGGCGCTCTAGCCCCAGTCCTGCTTCAAGAGGCTTTTTCCCACCACAGGCTTCTCTCCTCAGTGGCCAGAAAGCTGGGCCAACTCCCATGAACTTTGCCAGTAACGCAAGGCTGTCACTGACATTTGTGGCGCCAAGACTTGCGCACGCGGATTGCACACATCGGCCACTTCCTGGACCACGTGCAATGACACGCGCACGCCTCACGCACACGCCGCATAACGTCTGAGGCGCGCGCCCCGCACGCGCGCCCCGCACGCGCATAACGGCTTGGCTTACCTGTAACGGGTACGCTTCGCTTCGCGTTCCTCGCTTGGCCTTGCGTTCCTAGCTTGGCTTGGCTGTTAGTAGCTTTGCCTGGTGTTTCTTGCTTGGATTGGCGTTTCCTCCCTCGCATTCCTTTGCTGGACTTGACCTTTTCTCTGCTGGGTTTGGCATTCCCTTGACTGGGCTGGGTGTTTCCTTGGGAGGGGGGGCTTGGCCTTTCCTGGGGTGGGCGTGGGGTCCCCCTGGTGGGCGTGGGCTTTCCCCGGGTGGGTGTGGGTTTTCCCTGGGTGGGGTGGGCTGGGCTCCCTTGCTGGGGTTGGCAAGTTTTGGCTGGGATTGACCTTTCTCTTCAAACAGATTGGAAACCCAGGGTTTCCTGCTAGTTGGTGAAACTGGTTGGTAGACGCGATCTGTTCGCTACTACCGGCCTCCCCTGGCTGTTAAAAGCAGATGGTGGCTGAGGTTTGTTCAATGCCCGCTGCCTCTGCTGTGAAGAAGCCATTTGATCTCAGGAGCAAGATGGGCAAGTGGTGCCACCACCGCTTCCCCTGCTGCAGGGGGAGCGGCACGAGCAATGTGGGCACTTCTGGAGACCATGACGACTCCTTTATGAAGACACTCAGGAGCAAGATGGGCAAGTGGTGCTGTCACTGCTTCCCCTGCTGCAGGGGGAGCGGCAAGAGCAACGTGGGCACTTGGGGAGACTACGACGACAGCGCCTTCATGGAGCCGAGGTACCACGTCCGTCGAGAAGATCTGGACAAGCTCCACAGAGCTGCCTGGTGGGGTAAAGTCCCCAGAAAGGATCTCATCGTCATGCTCAGGGACACTGACATGAACAAGAGGGACAAGCAAAAGAGGTAACCGGGCCTGGGATGGGAGGAGGCGGGACATGGGGGGATGATGGGGACATACCCTCCTGGCGCAGGGAGGGAGGAGCCAGGCTTTCTCTTCCTCCGCAGGCCCCACACCACCCTGGGTGTGGAAACCTCAGAGATGTCAGGGCCCAGGTCCCTTTATAAACAGCAACACAAAAACAAAACTTTAGCTGATTTCCAATCCAATTATAATTTCCCTTATAGAACACTAATAGACGGTTTTAAAGTGATTTAACTCGCAAAATTAAGTCGATGCAGCAGATTATTTTTAATGTACACATTTTAAAACAATGTTCTATACACTATAGAAAGGTGTATATTGAGAACTAAGTCCCATAATATATCAACTTCTGGGCTAAATATTTTTCAAATAAAATCCAATATGGATTTTATATCGATGTGTACCCTATGTAAACACGTTCTTTACTGAGTAACCTTAAAAGGAAACTGAAATGGGAAGTATGGTTCATATCTTTGAATAGGAAGGTTCGTTTTTCTTAAGATGTGAGCTTTTTCTGTGTTTATCACTTTTACATAAGCCAAATAAAAATAGCAAAGTCTTAGTGTCTTTAAATTGCACATGATGTATTTTATCATTGTGATAAATTGATTTTTTGTAACAGAATGGAAAAAGACTTGCTTTTCCAGATATCAAAATGTGCGTGTGTTATTTCCACAAATTGTTTACTAACAGCTGAAAAGACATAAGTGAACAGAACAGAATAGGAAATCCAGAAATACCCAAATATATGTAAGAATTTAGCACTTGATAATGGTGATGTTTCATATTGGTAAAACAAGGTGAATTATTCATAAATTAAATGCATGCTGTTTGGAGAAAACTACCTAGATTTTTATGTCACAAAAATAAGTTCCTGGAGTATAGATTAAAAATTTTAAAGATACAAAAGGAGAAAAGTACCAGAAGAAAACACAAATGCCTATTTATATGTGCAAATATTTATTTATTTTTCTGAGACAGACTCTCACTCCATAGCCCAGGCTGGAGTGCAGTGGTGCAATATCAGCTCACTACAACCTCTGGTTCCTGGTTCAAGTAATTCTTTGCCTCAGCCTACCAAGTAGCTGGGATTACAGGCACCCACCACCATGCCTGGCTAATTTTTTGTGTTCTTAATCAAGACGGGATTTCACCATCTTTGCCAGGCTGGTCTTGAACTCCTGTCCTTGTGATCCACCCACCTCAGCCTCCCAAAGTGCTGAGATTACAGTCATGAGCCACTGAAACCGGCATATATATGCAGATATAATAAAATAAGCTCAATTTAAAATTGGGCAAGGTACTTTTTTGCATGTCTACCAGTGACCTGTGTACATAGGAAAACATAGCATTCCTGCTAAGAGAAGGAATTTAAGTTAGAAGAGGAATGAAAGACTATTTTCTGTTTAAGTTAGAAGAGGAATGAAAGGCCAGCCATGGTGGCTCATGCCTGTAATCCCAGCACTTTGGGAGGCCAAGGCAGGTGGATCACGAGGTCAGGAGTTTGATACTAGCCTGGCCAGCATGGTGAAACCCGTTTCTACTAAAAATACAAAGAATTAGCTGGGCATGGTGGCATGCACCTGTAATCCTAGCTACTCAGGAGGCTGAGGCAGGAGAATTGCTTGAACCAGGGAGACAGAGGTTGCAGTGAGCTGAGATTGCACCACTACACTCCAGCCTGGGTGATGGAGTGAGACTCCATCTCAAAAAAATAAATAAATAAAAATAAATAAATAAATATAAAGGAATGAAATACTGTTTTGTGTCCACAAAGTTTGTGAGGGTGAAGAACAGTGGTACTTATATACCTGCTGAAAGTTTAAGTTGCTGCGACTTTTCAAATAGACACTTTGATGGTAAGAACCACATTTTTAAAATGTGTATGCCTTTTACCCATCTGTTCCATTATACCGAAATATCTATATGAAACAGACACAGCTGTTTTTCTTAGTATTGCTTAAAATAGCCATGTATTGAGAAGAACTCATATAAAGATTTTATGAACAAATTTCAGTGCATCCATAGGATGGAATAATATGTAACCATTGAGGGTGTCAGTAGATACAGAGATATGTCGGCATGCAGAGATGTACTTTGCTGTATCAAGTGAGAAAAAATCAGTTTGTTATACATATACACAAATAGAATCTGCTCTTGTGTTAGCTGGAAATATGTGGAAAATATAATCAAACTTATTTCTGGGGATTTGTAAGTGAAGTTTTTCCCTTTCTCTTATCTGTGATTTCTGCAATGAACATCTGCAAAGTTTTAGTTAAGTTTCATTAGTAATGAAATAATCCTTGGGAAGAGAAGGAATATGCTACTTGCATAGATACAAATAATTTCTTACATTCTATTATTTATTTTTATACCTGTGGATGGCTATCTTCTGTGAACTTTTACCCTCTTCAGAAGTAGAGGGCTTCTGTTTACCTCTTCTGGTAGATTTTATTGTGTATACATCTTATTATATATAGATTGATGTGTAAATAGTATGGATTAATTATTTTAGTTTAGTTATATATTTATGAAAACTAAAATAGCAAATATAAATGATTGTTACTATCGCAAATGTATTGCTCTACTCAACAGGAGTTTTCTTTTAAAAATATTGAACTTCCAACCTATGTTTATCCATTCTTTCAATCCGTTTAGTCATCAAACATAAGCCAGACACCTATTATATGGCAAGCATATTCTGCTATCTCTCAGGATCCTTCCACCTTTGAAAACTTCATGTTTACCTGCTGCGCCTGAGCAAGCTGAGAGAATCAAAATTGGGGCATTAGGACTTAATCTCAATTGAAGCTTTTCCTCCCTCCTTTCAAACAAAAGCACTTCTGAAGGTGGAAAATAGTAAAAGATAACCCTTAACTGCCCTTTTGAAAATGTATAAGACTTGGGTAAACACTGTTTTAGCTGTTTTAAGAACTTAAATGTGGTACATAAACAGCATGGAATACTATGTAGCCACAAAAGAAAGAACAAGAGCCTGTCCTTTGCAGGGACATGGATGGTGTTGAAGGCCATTATCCTTAGCAAACTAACATAGGAAGAGAAAACCAAATACTGCATGGTCTCACTTATAGGTGGGAGCTAAATGAGGAGAACACACAGACACCTAGAGGGAAGCAACACACACTGGGGCCTATCAGAGGGTGGAGGGTGGGAGGAAGGAAAGAAGCAGGAAATAGAACTAACGGGTACTAGGCTTAACACCTGAGTAATGAAATAATCTGTACAGCCAACCCCCTTGGAACACGTTTACCTATGTTAACCAACCTGCACATCCTGCACCTGTATCCCCGAATGTAAAAGTTGAAAAAAGCTCCACAAATAGTTTCATAAATCCATTTTAAAAAGAGAAAATTTATAACAGTCTTAAATCCTAATATGAATGATTGGAAATATCTGATGTACATACGTTGTATAAATCTAAGTATTGAAAAAAATGAGCCCATGCTATTCATTTGAATTTCAAGATTTCTTTGGCTTAAAGTTTTTGAAAACCAAAGTAAGAAATAGATTATTTTAGAAAATTGTTTTTGTTTTCACCTCAGCCCTCTTATTCCATAGTTCTTTTAAGAACTAAAATTTATCTAAATGCTAGTCATCTGACTGGAACTGCCCCAGACCTGTTATATTATAACATATTCTACTTAATGTAAGGCACCAGGGATTGTATGATGCCCCATTATTTTATGTCTCACTAAGAAAATTATTTAAATGCTGCCAATTATAATTATAGTAAATCATGAATTAATAAGTGGTATTTCAGTGTAAGAAATGTTAAAACATGGAGACAATGATCATCTTAGACTCAATAAAATACAGTACAACGCTACCTGTAATCTTTAAAATGTACCTGAAAGTGTAGGTATAATTGTATCGTTTCACTTAATTCAAATGTTGTCTTTAGTGGTATTAGTAAAAATTATAATATCTTACAATTTTTGAGCTGTTATTTGTGTTAGGAACTATTCTATATTTTGTGTAGAGTCTTATTTAAGCATTACAGTGGTTTCCTCTGAGAAACTGACTATTTTCATTCCCATTTTATTGATGAGGAAATTGAGACACAAAAAGGCTAAGCAACAGCTAGGAAGCGACAGAGCTTCAAGTAGGATTCCAGCCCAAGTTGAATGTCATCCAAGAGCTATGCTCTTTCTATTCAAATAGGCTGCTCTTTCATTAATACAGTGACTAATGAGAGGTAATAAGTAGTGTGCTTTCTTCAAAGGAAAATTGAGTTTGTTTTGAAGGCAGAGTAATAGGCTATTCAGTGTTTGCAACTACATGAATCATTAATGTGGCATTAGCTAGTGCACTACAATTTCCTGAAGTCTTCTCACTCTCATAGGACTGCTCTACATTTGGCCTCTGCCAATGGAAATTCAGAAGTAGTACAACTCCTGCTGGACAGACGATGTCAACTTAACGTCCTTGACAACAAAAAAAGGACAGCTCTGATAAAGGTATGCAGTAGTCAACTATATCAGCGTGAGATGGGTTTGATTTCAATAGATAGCATAAAAATGAGTTTTCTCATTTAAATATAACTAGTTGGTGAAAGCTGTGGAATGTTATTTTGAATTCCTAGGACTTATAATTTGTTTTTGGTCTAATACTGACAGGCCGTACAATGCCAGGAAGATGAATGTGTGTTAATGTTGCTGGAACATGGCGCTGATGGAAATATTCAAGATGAGTATGGAAATACCGCTCTACACTATGCTATCTACAATGAAGATAAATTAATGGCCAAAGCACTGCTCTTATATGGTGCTGATATTGAATCAAAAAACAAGGTATAGATCTACCAATTTTATCTTCAAAATACTGAAATGCATTCGTGTTAACATTGACCTGTGTAAGGGCCAGTTTTCCGTATTTGGAAGCTCAAGCATAACCTGAATGAAAATATTTTGAAATGACTTAATTATCTAAGACTTTATTTTAAATATTGTTACTTTTAAAGAAGCATTAGAGGGTACAGTTTTTTTCAGTGCACTTGTGGTTAATGCTTTTTAAAAAAAAAAAACACTGAATTTGTAAAAGGTAATACTTTTTTTTTTTTCAATTTTTCCCTGCCAAGTTTTTTTTTCCCTAACAAATGTAAAATGACAAAATTTGCCCTGGAAATAGGTTTTACATTAAAACTCCAAGAAAACTTAAACATGTTTCAGTGAATAGTAATCCTGCTACTTTGGCAAATTCCTAAAAAAACACTAATAGATATGAGGTGATGTATCTCTCAGTGGCAAGGCTTAAGATATTTCTGATTGCTCATGAGGCAGAATTGGAAAGGGAAAAATGCAGCAATCAGAAATACCAAGGCCAACTTGGAAATTAGGTAATGGGGGAAAAGACCATGAAGAGGTTTTTTTTTGTTTTTGTTTTTGTTTTTGTTTGTGTGTGTGTGTGTGTGTGTGTGTGTGTGTGTGTGTTGTTATTGTTGTTCATTCATTTGTTTCCTTTATATGGTGAGACAGGGTTCTTTTCCATTTTAGAGAATGACAGTTTTCAGTTTGGGAGAGGGAGTTAGTGGGTTGTAAACTGCCTAGAGATCAATTTTAGGAGGCCTCTGAGGAACCAGACTGGCAGTGAATATGTGGTAATGTAGTGGGAAACCCTTGAGTAGAAGGAATAACAAGTAATTAACCAAATTAGTATCCTATTCTGGTAGAAATGGCCAATTAGAGTCTCAACTCTGCTTTCAATTCTAGAATGTCTTGATGGGAAGGTGGGAGATAAGGGGCTTATAAGTAAAAAGATCAGGTTGGATTTTGAGTTTACTAGACCTTGTTCTACTCTTACCGGGGAAAATTTTGTGGTGTTTTCAGCAAATGAGTCTCTCTCCTACTCTTTCCTCTTTTTGGCCAAATCCTCAAATGATAAAGGGAATTGTTTATGTGATGAGAGATGAGACTGAAATAATTGTCTATTGCACTAGCTTCCAGCTAGAGTTGTGCATTCCAGTTACTTCAGGAAAATTTTTAAATAATCTTCAAGTCTAGGTTTTCCCCTGAAGATTTTGATAGAGTAAGTCTAATAAAGCCTGGATATGTATGTTTAAAAATGTTTCCTTGAAGCCAGGCATGGTGGTGCATGGCTGTAGTCCCAGCTGCTAGGGAGGCTGAGGTGGGAGGATTGCCTGAGCTTAGGAGTTCTAGTCTAGCCTGGTCAACATAATGAGACCCTGTCTCTAACAACAACAACAACAAATTTCTCAAAATCCGGATACACTCCTGCTTAACCACTGAATACATAAGTGTAATATGTAAATTCTTATATCTCAGAAACTTCAGATATTTCTAGAAGAGTTGGAGTTGGATATGTGCTAATTCCTTTAAATCTTTCCTTTCCAATAACATTAATCTAAATTTTTGTTTGTTTGTTTTTGAGATGGGGTCTCACTCTGTTCCCCAGGCTGGAGTGCAGTGGTGCGGTCACAGATCACCACAGCCTTGACGTCCCTAAGCTCTGGTGGTCCTCCAATCTGTTTTTGTATTTTTTTTTTTTTAGTAGAGATGAGGTTTTTGCCATGTTTCTCAGGCTGATCTTGAACTCCTGGGCTCAAGTGAATCACCCACCTCAGGCTCCCAAAATGCTAAGATTACAGGTGTGAGCCACCATTCCTGGCCTAGTCTGACTTATCTCTGTCGTTGGGACATTAAAATAAATATTATTGGCACTATCTATCAGCTTACAGAATAATACCTTTTCCTTTCTACCATCAGTTATTCACTGCCATTCAGAAGGTCTTTAGAAATTTGCAGTGAGTAGTCTTCCAATAAGTAGAGGATGGCTCTCTCAGGACTTTGTGTCCCTTTGTTCAATCATTCAAGTGCTTAGGTCAGTAAGTCGTTTTTAAGAGCAGAGTTTTCTCAGAATTGTAGCAAATTCTAAACCTTTTTTGTCAATTGAAGCTATATTGTGGGCTATCCAGTATGTCTCTTAAGTTTGTAGAGCTTTGGCTTAATCAGGATGGCAGGTTTAAACACTCAAAACCATGGAGTTATTAAGAATACAGATAGGAAATCTCTTAGTTTCAGTAATCCTATGAACTGATTATCTATCTAGTTAACAATCTGGAAAAATTAAATACAAATAGATTTTAAATGAATAAATGTTGGAAAAAATTCTTGAAATGGGCAGTGTGAGTATTAATAGCAATATTTATTGCATGTTGGAGCTTGAACTTTGGTAAAACATGTGAAACTAAAGAAATATTTTACATTCAAATTCTTGCTTTATACACAACAATTTTGTCTTAGGATTGGATAATAATAGAGATAAAAGATACAGCCCCTGCCCTCAAGAAGCTTTTTGTTTAAATGAAAAAAAAAATCATCCAAAAGTGCCATGCCAAATGCTCATTTAGAAACAAAGAGTCTTGGAAACAGTAAATGTTTAAAGTGAGTTTTTGAGATGATCAGATTTAATGTGGTGAGGCAGAGAAGGGATGTTTCCAAGGGAAGGAGTGGCATGTGGGAAAGTACAGAAGAGTGAGAAGGAAGCGACCAAATTTTATTTACTTTCTGTGAGTGTAAGTCCATAAGCTTCTAGTTCAGTTGAGAGATACATAATTTTTTGAATTACATATTGTTTTTGTTTTATATTGTTTTACAGTGTGGCCTCACACCACTTTTGCTTGGCGTACATGAACAAAAACAGGAAGTGGTGAAATTTTTAATCAAGAAAAAAGCTAATTTAAATGCACTTGATAGATATGGAAGGTATGGTTATTTCTTTTAATCTGTGTGTTGTTCTAGATTGATAGCAGTCACTCAAGTCATAAATAATAAATTAATAAGATCAAATTATACTTATTGGGACATAGTGATCAGTATCAACACAAATCAGTTAAGTAGAAAAGCAATTATTTGGACTGGGCAACATAAAGAACTGTTTTAGTAGGATTCATCTTCTCTTATTATATTGACTGATGTTATTTGTTGTATGATGTTTTTGGTTACATGATCTTATGTTAGCTAAAGGGATTTCATATTAATTTTATGAAGTTTGAACTTTAACTTTCAGTTTACTTTATGACTCAGTATTGAACTTTTTAACCCTTTCTAGTAGGTTTTAACCTCTGTATCTTATATGCTTTTCCACTAAATATGCTGTATTAAACATAAATAGGAGTTGAAAATCCTTTTGTCTTTTCAATGACTCTGCTTTAAGTTGCTTTCTTTGAAGAATATTAATGTTAGCTTATCCCTACATGACAATTAATTGCTATTCCCACATACTGTGGGTTCAACAGCTTTTTTCCTTTTTTATTTCCAGTGTATTTTGATGTTTTTATTTTTAGTTGGTATGGAGAGAGGGAGTGAAGATAGTTTTAAGTGGATACACTTTTCCTTTAATGAAGGCAAGCTGTAGGTGGGTGATAAAGAGAAAAGAGCTACGCTTTGGATTCACACAAGACTGGGTTTAATTCCTAACTTTCTTACTTGCTACGTGTGTGACATTGGGAACGTGATTTACCACCCAATATGTTGTCATATGTGAAAAGTAGGAGAATATATCCTTCAAAGTTGGCTGTGCATAAGCAAGAAAGGTACATGTGGCATTTAATTCAGTGCATAGCACATGCTTATTGGCATCATTAACTGAAACTCCTGTGACTACTATTCTTACCATTATTATTAATATTACTGCTTTCAGCATGCAGAGAGCTCTTATTTATCTTAGCCCCTAGCTAATTTTCTATTACAGCATATCAGTCTAGGGAAGCTGTGACAAAATCTTCACTTAAATCTTTGTCCACTTCAGATAAGTGGCCCTAGCATTGTTTCTTGCCCATCAAAGGACTTTAAATTAGTAGCTTCTGCTATGCAATACCCCACTGAGATAAGAGGTTTCCTTTTTGTCCCTTCCTTTTAACCTTGGTGGTATTTTACAAAGATGAACTCTTGAGCACCCAAGATGCTTATGTCTTTTAGCGCATGTAAATGTTTGATTCTGCATGGACAGGCAAGATGTCAAATTGGTAAAGTATATCAAATTAGCTTTTAAAATAACTTTATTACAGTTCCTAAAGGAGAAATTATCTCTGTAATTTTAGAACTGCCCTCATACTTGCTGTATGTTGTGGATCAGCAAGTATAGTCAATCTTCTACTTGAGCAAAATGTTGATGTATCTTCTCAAGATCTATCTGGACAGACAGCCAGAGAGTATGCTGTTTCTAGTCATCATCATGTGTAAGTGTTTACATGAAAAGGCTAGTTAATGCTAAATTGAGGTTTAAAATAATTATAACAATTGCATCTTACATATCAGGTGAGATGTCATAGTTTGGTTCAGGTAGTTTTAGAGTGGCAGTGAGTTAGTCCCCTGCATCAGCCAGAAATCAGACAAAAAGCAAGACAAGTTAGAAGTACCAATGGGTGCAGGATTCTTTACCTCAGGACTTTTAAGACCTTTATCCTTAGAGATCCCAATATTGTTCATTTCATCCAAGTATAACACCTATGCATGGCATAAAAAAGAGTATCACATCTTTGATTTTTCTGATTAGTTATTTGGGTCTTGAAATGTCCAGTTTAGCAGAAAGCCTTGTACTGTCTTCTGGGGACTGTCTCCTACATACTCCTTGAATTTTTCAAGAACCAAAGGGGTTCACTAAATCCAAGGAAGACAGTCCCTTTTATCAAGTCAGAAGGAGGAGAGAAAAAAGGACATTCCAATCATTCTGTTGTTTCCATTGTTTCTGTTGCTGCATTGTTGCCACTCAAACTGCTTCTGCTGCCTGGTAATTGTTGACCTTTGACACCAAGGTGCCCTTACTGATTCAGATCCCTCAAGTCTTCATGGGGATTCACACAGTGACTTTGAAGTTACAACATTTTTTAGTTCCCTTACCTATGCTTATATGCTCAGCCATTGTTCCCAAAGCACCAGCACCCTGCTCTGGCCGCTGGGCATCCTGACTTTATCCGCACACAAAGTGAGCAAATTGACCCTTCCTCCTGTATTCAGAACCTAATGTGGAACCCACATCTTAGCTAAGAATTAGCTGAGACCTTCATGGTAAGAGATCCTTTCAGGCCGTTGTTGGTCTTTTCTCTAGCAGATATGAGGTGGGCTTGTTATAAAGGGTCAGAGGGGTTCAAATAATGTGGCAGAAAGAGATCAGTGTTTGTTTCTTCTTCTTTGCTACCAGATCTACACTGTGAGGCACCTTTATATCCTGTGTAGAACCTTAGGCAGTAGAAAGTCCCATATGAGCCTTCCCCAAGCAGTGGCTCCCAGCTGTGGTTGGCCCCTTGAGTGATCTGATTTACATGATAATGAAAATCGTCCAAGCTACTTCCATCTCTAGCTCAAGATTTTAAAATATTTTCAAATTGTACCTCACAGGAAGCCATTGAAGAGAATTCTCAGAATCTCAAGTGGGTTAAGTAAGTAGTGATGAGTCATGGACAAGAGCCAAGCCTTGCCCATGACTCATCACAAATCATGTGTAAAAGTAGGGCTTTGTGCCTGCTTTGGCGGCACATATCCTAAAATTGGAACAATACAGAGAAAGTTAGCACGGCTTCTGCATAAGGAGGCAGCACAACTCTTTGAAGCATTCCATATTTTGTGCAGTCACTGGAAGATCATTTCACTATTTGCTGACTAGCTCTAAGGAAACAGTGTGAATCAAAGCAAAATGGGTGCCACCAAAATATCGAAATGTGATTTGTGCTGCAAAAATAGTCATGGAAGATGGTCTGTGAGATGATTTAGAGCTGAATAATGTGTTCAGTGCAAAATATATTATAAGTATGTACGTCAAAAATTAGAGAATGTCAATTTGCAGCTTCTTCATGAAAACTGAAAAAAAATAAAAGTAGAGTTTTGGTCTCCCATGTCAGCTGGAATTGAACATCAACATAAAGCATTATCTTAACAAACATCTGCTGGCTCAGAGTTTGAGTCTGTAGAGAAGGATCATTGCTCCAAGCCAGGTCTTAACATCCATTGGTTTTTCTGCCCTTAGCACAACAAATTGGTCAACTCCGTAATAGTGGACAATCACATTATCTACTTTAATGAGAGATTTATGAAAAAATTTAGTTACAAACTATGACACAGTTGAGATGCCCTGAATGATAAGCCATAAGGAGTAGGACAACTAAGAAGCAAAATTAGGACTTAATAACATTTTCTGAAAACTACAGCATTTGCATATTAGAACCTATGAACAAAATACACATGGGGTTTTATTTGGGATTCCAAGATAATTTTAGTCATAAAGTTTAGGAACAGATTATTCCATTGCTTTACTATTTCTCTGAGCATTTAAAAAATGTTACCTTGTTAAATCTTTATAACAACCTAGTGAAATAAGGCAGCAAAGTCCTCACTTTGTAGAAGAAGACATTGAGCCTAAGAGAAGAAAGTTGTCCAAGAACAAATAGCTGTTCATTATGGAGCTAGGACTTATGCAGAGTTGGGACACTTTCTATTATGTCATGCTAATGCATGCTGATTTACTGGGTCACAGTGCCCTTGATTTATGAGCATTTCACCTAATTTTTTTTCTTCTTTAATTAGAAGCTTAAAGAAAAGTTTGTAGAATGTACTCGTAAGTGTATGGGATAATACTGTTAAATTCTGATATTATGATATTGTTTGAAATACTCTAAGAATTTTACATTTGGTAAGTATTTTTTATATCAGTATTAAAATAGTAATTTGGTTTATTACATTTTTATACATAGAATTTGTGAATTACTTTCTGACTATAAAGAAAAACAGATGCTAAAAATCTCTTCTGAAAACAGCAATCCAGGTAAGACTTGTGATAATGAATTACTTTAGGTCAGTTGTCCACAATGTTTTTGGCATCAGGGACCGGTTTTGTGGAAGACAGTCTTTCCATGGGCTGGGGGAAGGTGGGGATGGTTTCAGGATTATTCAGCCATGTTTCATTTATTGTGCTACTTTATATTATTATTACATTGTAATATATAATGAAATAATTATACAACTTACCATAATGTAGAATCCGTGGAAACTCTGAGCTTATTTTTCTGCAACTAGATGGTCTCATCTGGGGGCAAAGTGAGACAGTGACAGATCATCAGGCATTAGTTTCTCATATGAAGCACACAACCTAGATCCCTCAGATGAGCAGTTCACAATAGGGTTCATGCTCCAATGAGTATCTAGTGCTATCACTGATCTGACTGGAGGCAGAGTTCAGGCGGTAATATGAGCCATGGGGTGTGGCTGTAAGTACAGGTGAAGCTTCCCTGGTTTGCCTGCTGCTCACCTCCTCCTGTGTGGTGTGGTTCATAATAGTCCATGGACTGGTACCAGTCTGTGACCTGGGAGTTGTGGACCCCTGCTCTGGGTGGTCCTACCATAGATAAAAAAATAAAAGTAAGGAATTTTTGATCACAAAAGAACGCCAAAGCACAAGTCATGTTACATATCCTTGTCCCAACAAGGTCTCACTCTTACTGACTTCATTCCTCCTCATTTGAAGTTGGAAAGAGATACATTTACTTTGTTGGAACAAGATGTGTTCTCTACCTGCTGGTCAATTGTCTTGATAACAGTAATTTTGTTAGAACAAGATGCTCTGCTACCATTTACCAAAAGATTGTCATAATAAATATACAAATTGCCCAACTCTAGGCTCAGCAGATTATAATAAAAGTAGAAAAATGCTTCACATTAACAAAAATACTAGTATGCCACCTGGTTGTGGACACCTAATACATTGTATAATCCAAACTGGATGAGGACACCTTTAATTTAGCCATCTATTTATCAAAAAGCTTCTGTAAGTTAGGTTTTATAAGTTGCAGAAGACAAAGATGGAATAGATGTAGTTTTGATCTTTAAGGTGCTCATAATAGAGGTGTCTCTATTTCATTTCTGTGTTTTTTCAACAGAATTTACAAAGAAAACATTTCTATGTTTTCACTTGTCCACTTAACAAATAACTATCAAATGTCTTTTAGATACTAATCATTTTTCTAATGCTACAGAACACACACAATTAAAAATACAGACAGGAGCTTGTTATTATCATTGTCATTTTTATTATTTTACTACTTTATTCAGTGCTTACTGTGTGCTAGATGCCAACTGGAAGCTTATAATTATGATTTATTATGTATTAATTATGTGCCAGACATACGTGATGAGGAATGAAAGTTTTGAAAAAAAGTAGGTATGATTCAAAGTAAGCATGCAGAGTGAGAAGAATTTTTCTAGGTAAAGAAGCAGAAGAATAATTTTTGGCAGGAGGAAATTGCAACAAGTTTGTGTGTTTGCCAGAAGAACATCTGATGAGATTGCCTGTTTGGCAGGAAGAGCAACAACTGCAAAAGACAAGATGCCGAGTGAACTTTGCAGGGTTTCTGAGCAGTTCACTTTTGCTAGTACCAAAAGTGTGAGACACCAGAGTTTGGGAATGAGGTGAATACTTAGCTAAGGCAAGTTTATGATAGACTTTTTTAATACTATAGAAATGAGTAGGTCTTACCCTGTGGGCCATGGGAAATTTACCAGGTAGAATGCTTTGGACTGTAAATACTAGATGAGCAGTGGCTAAAACAGTAGGAACCAGAGTTGTTTTGGTTGTTCAGTGATATCCTAGGATCCCATTTTTCCCTCTTTCAGCTGTGCTGTTGGCAGTGTTTTCTTCATGTTTCCTTTCGTGGTTGGCTAATCCGCAGCAGCTCCAAACATCTTGTTCTCACAACACAACATTTCAAGGGCTGCTTTTCTTCACATGTGTCTTTTAAACAGGGAGAAAACTTAGAAGCATGCAAGGGGCTTCCTGTAACATTTCATTGGCTGGGTCACACCACATGCTCATTCCCAAACCAGGCAATGGGATGGCAAATACATGATTAGCTTAGAATAAACATTTCTCTTTCTGAGGCTGAGGAGGGGGATTGGGATAATAAATATCCCAATAGACTTGTGTTTCTTCTGCAAGAAAGAATAAGGAATGGCTATTGATAGGAGCCAACAATGTGTGCTGCAGGGGCTCATTGGAGAAATTTGAGCAGGGGAGTTACAAGATTAAATTTGAATATTAAGGCATATTCTGCTTATGGTGTAAAATGGGTTAGCAAGCTTTTTCTGTAAAGGACCAGGTGGGAAATATTTTAGACTATGTGGTCTCTGTCATATCTACTTAACCAGGCTGTTGTCTGTTGTTGTAGTGTGAAAGCCACCATGATTATATGTAAGCAAACAGGCATGACTGAGCTCCTATAAAACTTTATTTACAAAGCCAAAAGGCAGATTGGATTTGTCCTGTGGCCTATAGTTTGCTGGGATTGATGGAAGATAACCATGTAAAGAAACCAGGAGACAAAGGAAGCTTTTGCAGTAGTCAGCTATAGTTTCCATGTCACACATCCTTGGACTACTATCAATGTATTCTAAGGTTTTCACCTGCCCATGGTGAAATAAAGTTTGGAATCCCCGTTACTCATTTTAATGTGTTGGCCTTTTTTTGGTGTTATGCTTTTTTCATTTGTTTTGCTTAATTTTTTTCATGTAAGAAATAACATTAATAGTTGGAAGGCTTTTTTGTAATAAAAGCCATTTTGTAAATGTTTATGTTCTCAGTGGAAGTGGTAATATAAAGCAGAGGCAGAAGAGAGGTATAGTCAATATGATTTAGTGATAATTGAATGAGAAAGGTTTGGAGGACAGAGAGAAATGTCAGATAATTTACAGGTTTCCACGTTGTACACTAGTATTTAAGCTGGGAATGAGGAAGGAGTACGAAATTTTCTCCATGACCTGTGTGAGTCACAGCTTCCAGAAAAGAAAGAGAGCAAGGAGCATATTAAGGAAGCACAGCAAAGTCAGTCCTAGAGTGCCCTGCTTGACTTCATGTCATAGTTCTGACTTCTAAAAAATCATTTTCTGCAAAATGTGCTTTGTGTTTTTCCCCTCTTGCAGCCTGCAGCCAAACAGAATCCCTTTAGCAGGGCATTTTTGTGTTCTTCCTTTAAACAAAGCAACATATAAATAACAAAAAAGAAGTAAGAGAAAGAGTATTTTTTGTATAGGCTAGCATTTAACTTAAACTTGAGAGCGAGTACTAGGATTATACTTAGAATTTATGGACTGGGTAGGAAGACTAGATAGAAATCTAAAGATTGCTGACTCAAACACAGTGTGATTTTTTTGCTTTATTCTCACAGCTCTGAATTCACAACTATTAGTTATATTCATATACACTATAACTTTATAAAGCACCTTCCCAAACAAATATTAAGTGATTTATTATAATTTCTATGACTTATTATAGAATTGACTTTCCAAGTGTTCATGAGAATTATTGGGAATTTGCTACATAGTATCATCTCAGCTGTGTCCACATGAGCTAGCTGTCACCTTGTCTTAATGAATAATGGCTCACTAGGAATATTGGTTTTGGCATTAAAATGATCTACATCTTAATACAGATAGGACCAGGGACCACTCTTGAACGTTAATGTCTAAGCATCTTAAAGGTACACATAAGGCTTTCATAATCTGACTTCTGCCCTATTCTACATCTTTAGCCCTTTTCCCTGTGTGCCCTTTCTCTGGCATTACTGAGTGGCTCTTAATGCCCTACTCACTCCTCCTTCTATTGCAGGCAAATACTTTCACTCTTTCAGGCCTCGCTCCTGCTCTTGCTGCTGTGTGGCATGCTGTCACCCTTTCTTGCCCTCTACCACTTTTAATCTAGCTAGCCTCAATATTTAAGTCTCTGCTTGGGCAGGTGTTCTAGAAAAGCCATCCCTGACAGGCTTTATTTTCATTCTTTTTAAACCCTAACACCTAGCATGTATGTAGCAGGACTCAATAAGAAATTTCTGAGTAAAATAAAGACTGTTTTTACAAAGATGATGTGCAAGACTGTCCTCTGCAGTCTTGGAGCAGAGGGGACAGACATGTGGAGGAATAGTGTACAGTTCAGGTGGTAAAGGTGCAGTAGAAAAATCAGTGAGGTCCTAAGGCAACCTCAAGGAAGGAGTTACCTGTTTATCTGGGGAAAGATCTGCAGAATCAAGGAAGACTTCCCATAGCATTGTTTTAAAAGATGAAAACAAGGCTGGGTGTGGTGGCTCACACCTGTAATTGCAGCATTTTGGGAGGCTGGAGCAGGTGGATCACAAGGTCAAAAGATCAAGACCATCCTGGCCAATGGTGAAACCCCATCTCTACTAAAAATACAAAAATTAGCTGGGCATGATGGTGTGTGCCTGTAATCACAGCTTCTCAGGAGACTGAGACAGGAGAATCATTTGAACCAGGGAGTCAGAGGTTGCAGTGAGCTGAGATTGTGCCACTGCACTCCAGCCTGGTGACAGAGCAAGACCCCAGCTAAAACAAAAAAAAAGAAAAATGAAAATAAATTTGTCATAATAGTGGATGGAAACATTTTAGATGTTAAGAAGACATTGTACACTAATAAAGGTGTCAGTAGTAATTTTGGAAATCGTTTGTAAGGTACTATTTTTGCAGAAAAGAGGAGGCAGGAGAGACCCAGTGGGTCAAACAAGAGGATTTTGTTTAGGTGCACACCAGCTCAGCGGATTTGCATCAAAAAGCTGAGCCCTGAACAAAGACAGGGCTTGGCTTATATAGGCAAACTTATAGAAGCAGAACAAAGGCAGTTAATCATATAGTGACAGTTTTGCAACCACTGCATAGCTTGTGACCTTGCAGCTGCATTGAAGGAAAACAAGAATTTGCAAAATATATGCATTTGTAAAAATAGCTATGAATAAATGCTGAGGGGGAGGGGAGATGGTAAAGGAATTTGTTTTCTTAACCTTGCTCTGGGATGTCTGGAGCCCATACCTGTGGGCTCTGGCTTCTCAGACAGGGTCACCATGACCTTTCCTGGGCCTGCTTGTTACTATCCTTAGAGTCAGACTAGCTAAGTGCAGGAAAACTTGTTTCTCTTTAAAACTAAATTTCCTTTTCTTTACATTTACTGCTTCACTATTAGGAAGTGAACAACATACTGAGTTACCTTATATGTTTCTACTGTATTTTGAAGTTGTGTTTCTGGTGGTTTTGTTCATTTATGTTGGGTGGATGAATTTGTGAGTGAATCACATCAGGTGTCTCCCCAAGTGGTTTGTTGAAGTTTTGGAGAATTATTTCCTAAGTAACTATTTCATGAAAGACTAAACACTCAGTTTATGAAATAAAATAAAATGTTGTCTTCAATCTATTTTTATAAAGGCAATAGTTTTTAACTGTTCTAAGTGGTTCATTTTAACTGAATATATGGATTTCTCAACAGAACAAGACTTAAAGCTGACATCAGAGGAAGAGTCACAAAGGCTTAAAGTCAGTGAAAATAGCCAGCCAGAGGCATGGAAAATTTTAAGTTTAAATTTTTGATTTAACGTTGTTTTCTTTGCTTGAATAATATTAGATAGTCCAAATGAAATTACCTTTCAGACTAGGTTTTAAGAATCAATAGATTCTTTTTTTAAGAATTTTTTAATAGATTCTTAAAATTTATTTTAATAAATTCAGCAATCTCATTAACAGAAGAATTAATAAATTCTAACTTAACATTTGATATTTAGCTTAAAAACGTAACCACTATAAAATTTAAAATACTCTTATTTTATGGTATTCTTATTTAAAATATTCTTATCTGCCTTTTTGATTAGCTTATAGCTAATCTTTCCTTTTGGAATAGAGGCAAAAACATATTCCAGACCTTTGTTTGTTCTTTTATTTTTACAACACCCTAACATGATAAAGTACCATCAATTATTGGATTATATTATTAAGCAATAGAACTGTGAACAATGTAACACTGAAGGTCCCTGAGCTGGATTCATGGTTAAAGAATAATCACGGCCAGTGATTGAAAATCTGCAGTTTTATATTGTCAGTCACAGATACCAAGGTTAAAGACATATTCTGCCTTGTGGTCTCTCACTGACCTCAGCATTTCTGTTCAGGGAGGGAACCAGGTCATAAAAGCAACCCAACTGCCTATTACAAGAATCATATCTTGCAGAATGGGACATTTGGTGTTAGTGCACAAACACAATAACCTTCTACCTTATTTTAGTTGCAGAAAATCAGTACAGATTATTAAAAAATTTTTATCCACTGTAATTAGTACACCTTAGAATATATTAGAACTGGACTTAAGCAGATCATCTAGATACATAACACTATCATATTACAGCATATAATTTCAATTAAAATTTAAGAATTTGCATTTCTTCCTGTTTGGTGTTGATTTCAGCTCCTAATAATTTAAAGCGTGCCTACAATCCAATTAGGAATCTTTTTAAAAAGCACTTCAGTGCACTATAGGGGCTCACTAGTTAGGGTTTCATGAGATATACTCTTTTCAAGTGAGGAAGCCCTTGGAACACTACAAATCATCTGCTAATTCATTTTTGGTAGATTTAACACATAACAAATTAAGTTTAGTCCAAACAAATGGTGACAAAGTTAAGTTTGCTGGTTCATGTTTTTATTCTCCCTTTGTCTAAGGTGAATTATTTTCCCATGTTAGTCAGAAGCCAATGATGTGGCAGTAGCTAAACATAGATTAAAAAGTTAATTCTTAATTTTAATTATTTATTTATTTAATTATTTTAACAGTTAAATTTTATTTTATTTTCTAATTTTTCATGTCCATACTTGATTACTTAAGAATAAAATTATTTTAACATGCATTCCAAAAGAGGAGACATACACGGAAATACAACAAGCAAATTAACCTTCTATTTTTGCATCTGCAGAAAATGTCTCAAGAACCAGAAATAAATAAGGACTGTGATAGAGAGGTATACCTTTATGTTCAAATGTTTCTGTGGAATTAGATTTTTATGTTATGCTGTTTAACAAAGTGTAGTAAGTGTACGCATACATGATCCTATCATGTAAGTAGCATAAATCACCAGTGAAAAATTTAATATTTAACTCAGAAAGAATTCTGTACATTGAGTTTTCAAGAGATACAAACCCTAGAGAGATTCTTTCATTATTATGGAACAATCCTGAATGGTGCCATAAAATGCTAGGTAATGCCACTTTAGGAGATTTGGACCAATCCTTTTATCTTTCTTGGTTTTAGTCTGATTATCACTAGATAATGTGGCTAAAGAAGATAATTACTTATTCTTTGTAATTTCCAGCTGGAAAATTGTATAGCTATTGAATGTGAAATTTGGGGAACATCTAATTTCCTGGAATTCCATGCTTGCACCTCAGCAGTTTCACTCTGCTCCTTGTGTTGTGGCAAACTTTGGTTTTCATGTTTCAGTGAGCACCATCATGTTTTTGATATACAGGAACCAAATGAAAAAAGAACGATCAAAGGCAGTGGGGGAGGAGAATATCTTAGTGCAGAAAAGGGCCATCTTCCTTTCTATTCCTGAAGCCCCCCAGTGTCTCATCCTCTACATCTGAGTGTTTAATGTAAAATCTAGGTGGTAAAGACAGAAGACACATTTTGTGTCTATGTCGTTTTATTTTTGTGTTCCCACGAGTCAAATGGGGTAAATTCATATATAAGATTCTGAAGAGTTTTTGGGAATAAAAGCACAAAATGAAGGAGGGCCCTTTTTGAATTTTGGAAAATTCTGTTTTATTCAGTCAAACAGCTGGAATCAAGCAAACTTTACAAAAATTTCAGTGATATACTAATGACATGATAATTACATCTTAAAATTATACAGTTATAGTTCTGTATATATGATCAAATTTAAGTGTGAAATATTTTTAATGACTAAAATAATGGCAAACTGAGTCAATTGATAAAATCAATTAAAAAGGTTATTTTTATTCAATAAAGTGATAACCATCCTTAATATCAAACTTCCACTCAAGGTTGAAGAAGAAATAAAGAAGCATGGAAGTAATCCTGTGGGATTACCAGAAAACCTGACTAATGGTGCCAGTGCTGGCAATGGTGATGATGGATTAATTCCACAAAGGAAGAGCAGAAAACCTGAAAATCAGCAATTTCCTGACACTGAGAATGAAGAGTATCACAGGTAAGCCTATGGCAACATTTAATAGGAGATAACTATATGCTGTCAAACTAATCCTAATTTGGGCTTTCATGATGAACAAATTTTATACTTTTACTAGAATATTCAGCCTTGCCTGTTAATCAGAAAAATGAAAATCAGTAAACAATGAGTTACCGTTTTTTCCAGTCATTAATTTATTTGAAAAATAACCGGCATTGGCAAATGTGAGGGAAAAGGCATTTCCTTTTCTTTTTAATGAACTTTTATTTTAGCTTCAGAAGTTCATGTGTAGGTTTATTATATAGGTACACTGTGTCATGGAGGTTTGGACTACAGATTACTTCATCAGCCACATAATAAGCAAAATACTCGAGAGGTAGTTTTTTGGTCATCTCCCTCCTGCCACACTCCACCCTCAAGTAGACCCTGGTGTCTGTTATTCTCCTCTTTGTGTCCATGAGTTTTCATTGTTTAGTTCCCACAAATGAGTAAGAATATGTGGCATTTGATTTTCTGTTCCTGCATTAGTTTGCTTAGGATAATGGCCTCCAGCTCCATGTGTGTTGCTGCAAAGGAAATGGTCTCATTGAAAAAGACAATTCATACACTGTTGGTAAATATATTTTGAACATTAATTTATTAGCATATTTGCACACACACATATATAACATAGTAAGGATATATATGTATGTTAAGGATATTTGTATAGATTTGTCACATATATACTTATGTATAAGGACATTTCTTACAGCGTTATTATATCAAAAAGATGGATCCTTATCAATAGGAATTTATCATTATCAAAAGTAAATCCTTACCAATAGGAAATGGCTCAATTTTCATACCCAGAAAATAATACGGTATGCAAACATTTTTTACAAATGAGGTTAGATCTAGAGTATACTGATTATTTCACAATTAAAATGTATTTAAAGCATTTAGTTTGGTAACACATCTTAAGATAATTTTGTTAGAATTCTTGTAATATCTGCTGTGTTGCAAATGGAAGCTACACGCTACATTGACACTGTACCTTGTTAGCAACGAGATTGGTAGTTATTAAATTTTTGTTGTCAGTGCCTGAGTGCCAAAATATTGGACCTTCAATCTGAATATTGCCAAGGGATTGTACATGGGGATCTATATTTAATATAAACATTTGAGTATATTGGGTAAAACTTTTATTAAAATATATCAAAGTATCTTTCATCTGCTAAACCAGGAGCTGGCCAGCTTTTTCTGCAAAGAGCCATTTAGTAAATTTTTAGGCTTTGTGGACTATATATATTTATTTTTTTTGAGACAGGGTCTCTGTTGCCCAGGCTGGAGTGCAATTGTGTGATCACAGCTCACTACAGCCTTGACTTTCTGGGCTCTAGTGATCCTCCCACCTCAGCCTCTCTATTAGCTGGGACCCCAAGTGTGCAACATCACACCCAGCTAATTGACTCTATGGACTGTAAAGTGAATAAGCATGGCTGTGTTCCAAGATTCTTTACTTACAAAAACAGGCAGTGGGCTGGATTTGGCCCACAGGTGCTAATTTGCTGACCCTTGTGCTAAAAGGAAGGTGCTGCTAATGCAGTAACACTTATTTATAAAAGTGCCCAGCATGTGTGACATTATCTTTCCTTTGAGAAAAGGATATATTTTGGTATTCACCTCACCATATTTTTCCACAGTGACTTCATATAATTTTAAAAATTTCATTTGTAAAATAAGATTATTTTCTGCATTTCTGCCACTTTATTCCTGTTAATAGAATTCAGTATTTTATGGTGATCAATTACTTTGTATATTCGATGAGCATCAACTGTCCTAGAATTGGCTGATTTTTATCAAGCAAGAAATACTCTCCTTGAAACTTTTAGTTTTTCTTGGTCTTTATGTATAAGCATGAACAAAATGATAATTAGCTTATGTAATCTAGAAATGGTCAAGGCAACTTTTAGTTCTATAGTTTTAAGATTTAACACCTTGGTCTGGCATTTTTAATGCCACATGTGTATAATTTTTATAAGCTTTAAAATATATAATTGTTATATAAAATTTGAAAACTACACCTTTTATGTAAAATTTGAAACTATTTGTCCATTACTTTTCCATGACTGTGGAAGAAAATTACAACATTCTCAGCCATGACTCCTAAGTATGATGTCCTTAAAAGAACTGTCTACACTCACGAACTCAAATTTTCTTTTCATTCACTCTTGATCTCATGCCAGTAAGTCTTCAATTTCAGCAGTCCTCCAGCATTGTTTTTCCTCAAGATTATCACTATTTTTTTTTCTGTAATAAATCTAGGCCCTTTTCTTCCACCTCATTTTATTTAATCTGTCAGCAATATTTGAGCCAATGGAGGGCATCTCCTCCCTAACGGCATCTTCACTTGGCTTTCAGGACCTCACTCCCTCAGGCTTTTCCTCCTGCCTTTCTAGTCCATTCATCATGGTCTGTTTTGCTTGCTCCTCCTCATCTTTCTCCTTTTGGACATTGTTGTTTCCCAGGGCTCACTCCTCAGTCTTCTTTCTCGTGACTTTTTCTTTTTCTTTTTTGGAGACAGAGTTTCACTCTGCCTCCCAGGCTGGAGTTCAGTGGTGTGATCTCGGCTCACTACAACCTCTGCCTCCTGGGTTCAAGCAATTCTCCTGCTTCGGCCTCCTGAGTAGCTGGCATTACAGGTGCATGCCACCGTGCCCAGCTGATTTTTGTATTTTTAGTAGACACAGCATTTCCCCATGTTGGCCACCCTGGTCTCAAACTCCTGACCTCAGGGGATCTGTCTGCCTTGGTCTCACAAACTGTTGGGATTACAGGTGTAAGCCACTGCACCTGGCCCCTCGTGACTTTTTCTACTGTGTATATGCTAGTGATTTCTGAATGTATGTCTCCAGCTCAGATCTTTCTCCTTAATTCCAGATTTCTATATCAGCCTGCCTACTTGACGTCTCTATTTGGTTAGTTATTGGGTATCACACACTTGTCAGATCCAAAATTGGGCTACTGATGTCCTTCCTGAAATCTGCACCTCATGTAGTCTTTCCTATTTTTGGTTAAGGGCAACTCTTCCAGTTGCTCTGCCAAATATCTCGGTGTCATTCTTGACTCATCTCTCTCTCTCTCTGACACCTCACATCTAATCTCTCAGTAAATCTTGTCAGGTCTACCTGAAGAATATGTCCAGAAGTCAGTCATATCTTGTACATCTGAGCCACCCTCATCTGCAGTCTAGATGAGTGTCATAGACTGGGAATTGATAGTCCTGGTTTTTAAAAACTTCCCTTTTCATCAATTCTTAACTCAGTGGATGTATTTAAAACATAAGTCAAATTGTGTCATTCCTCTGCCCCAGCCCTTCTGATTATCTCCCATTTCACTCGGAGTATGTGTCAAAGTTCCTCCTAATTATCTCCCTTGCTCTGCTTCAGCCAAACTGAATTCTTGCCGTCCCTTATCTACCCCTAGTGCTTAAAGATGCCAGGCACACCTCTGTGATTCGCAGTTCCCTGTGTCTGGAATGCTTTTTCCCCAGTTATCCTCCTAGCTTTCTCTTTCCATTCCTTCAGTTCTTTATTTAAAACCCCCTTTCTAAGAAGAAGAGGAAAAAGGGTAAAAAGAAAGACATTAAGGAACAACCACTTTCTGAGGAAGAACAGCGTGCTACCTAGACGCGTCATGCTTGAGGTTCAATTGGGTGCCTACCAGGGATGCTCTCTAACGTAATGAAGGGAAGGTTCAGTGAAACAAAGTGATTTAACATCTCTAACTTCAAACCCATTTGTATCTTGACATCAATGCCGTTAACCTTATGTCGTCATTTCTTAGAGTCTTTGATATACAAATAAAAGGTTTTTTGTATTAGAAAAAAAAATCCCCTTTCTCAGCAGGGACTTTTCTGACCACCCCAACTTTCCCACCCTCCCCATGAAACACATAAACATTTCATTTTCCTGCTTTAGTTTTTCTCCTCTAACATACTGTATATTTTGCCTTATCTGTCTGTTGTTATTGTGTGTTTTTCTCACTCTCATGAATGGGGTTTTTATTTTTCACTACCATATCCTCACTGCCTAGAAAAAGGCCTAGCATATTGGATGAAGCTACCTAATAAATACTTATTAAATGAGTGAATGGAGTTTATCCTGGATATATTGTTTGATTAATTCTCACTTTAAAAATGTTTGACATGGTTCATTCTAACAGTTTTGCCCGGTAATTACATGCATTTTAAAAATTGTTTTGGCTCTTTATAATAAGCTACATTCTTTATATTATTTTTTTATTTAGAGAGAAAAGCCCAATATTGTGGTTATTCACTATTTATTCTTTTACTAGTAAACATAATTGTAATTATGGTAAACTGAGTCAGAGGAATTGTAAACTTTACTGGTATTTTATTTTATTTTGAGATGGAGTCTTGCTGTATCCCCCAGGCTGGAGTTCAGTGGTATGATCTCAGTTCACTGCAACCTCCGCCTTCTGGTTCATGCATTTCTCCTCCCTCAGCCGCCCAAGGAGCTGGGATTACGGGGGCATGCCACCACGCCTGGCTAATATTTGTATTTTTAATAGAGATGGGGTTTCACCCTGTTGGTCAGGCTGGTCTCAAACTCTGTACCTCAGGTGATCCACCCACTTCGGCCTTTCAAAGTGCTGGGATTACAGGCATGAGCCACTGTGCCTGGCCACTAGTATTTTATTTAAAAAAAAATTAGGGTGGCACATTTAATGGACTTACAAATTCTTTTCAAGGGATTATGAACCTTTGGTATTTGAAATAAAGATACAGAGTTGGAATTTTTTGCTTCCTATAGTAAGAGGAATACTGGTCAGGCACTGTCTATTCTGGTGGAGCAGGTGCTGCTGCGTGGCTGTATTTCAGAAGCAAGCTGCTCACATTGATATTGGTTGGTGAGCAAGAGCAGTGGTCATTGATTGATTGACTAGATTTCAAACTGGCTTTTGGGTGGCTTGTTGTTACCATTGGTACAAGTCATTTCTTTCCTAAGTTAGAGTCAACTTTAACCAAAAATTTTCTGTATAAAAGTTGCCTTCAATTAACTATGTTCAAAATGAAAGTACTTTATATTCCAGAATTGTAGACTTCATTTTAAAATTTTGGTCAGGATGAATTGGTTAATAATAGCTCTCAGGAAGATCTGTTTTCCTTTTTTAAAATACGTATTTCTCTGTATAATTTATTCCTTAAAATTAATTATTTTCTTTCTGTTTTTGGTATTTTTAGAAGCTTTTGCTCAAGTCCTAACATAATCTCCAGTAGGAGATTTTAGTCTCTTTGTCAGTTCATGTATGTATATGGTAGTGATACTCTCTTTTTAAATTCCTTTTCTCATTCACTTTCTTCTCAGTACAATAACAGTGATATTCTTATACATCTTTACCTCATTTAAAAGTAATTACAGTTTTCTGCTGGCAAATTCAGCTTTTTATATTTTGACTAAATACTAGGCTAAAATTGAAGAAAATTTACCAGGTCATTTTATTTTCAAACAAAATCATTACTAATAAAAATTGCTATTTTTGAAATATAAATAATGACATTTTGATATTTTAAAAGTAAGGATACACCCCCCCCAATAGTTTCGCTTTGTGTTTCCACCCAAATCTCATGTCAAATTGTAATTCCCAGGTGTTGAGAGAAAGACCAGCTGGGAGGTATTGGATCATGGGGTCGGTTTCCTCCATGCTGTTCTCTTGATAGTGAGTTCTCACAAGAGCAGATAATTCTATAATGGGCTCTTTCCCTTTCACTTCTCTCTCTCCTGCCACCTTTTGAAGAAGTTGCCTGCTTCCCCTTTACCTTCTGCCATGATTGTAAGTTTCCTGAGGCCTTCCCAGCCATGTGTAACTGTGAATCAATTAAGCCTCTTTCCTTTATGAATTACCCAGTCTCAGGTATACATACATACATATATATATATATATATATATATATATATATATATATATATATATATATATATAATTTTCTTTATTCCACTCATCAGTTGATGGACACTGGCTGATAACATATCTTTGCATATGTGAATTGTGCTGCAGTAAACATATGTATATAGGTGTCTTTTTGAGAGTATGATTTCTTTTATTTTGGGTAGGTATCCAGAAATGAGAATGCTGGATAGAATGGTAAGATCTACTTTAACAGAACTCTCCATAATGTTTTCCATAGATTTGTACTAATTTGTATCCCCACCAGCAGTGTATAAATCTTCTTTTTTCACCACATCCACACCAACATCTGCTGTTTTTTTTATTTTAGTAGTGACCATTCTGGCTGAAGTGAGGTGATATCTCACTGTTGTTTTATTGTACATTTCCCTGATGATTAGTAATATTTAGCATGTTTTTATATTCTTGTTCACCATTTGTACATCTTCTTTTGAAAAATGTCTATTCATGTCATGTGCCCACTTTTTAATGGAATTGTTTGTATTTTTCCTGCTGATTTGTTTGAGCTTCTGGTAGGTTATGGACATTAATCCTTTGTTAGATTCATAATTTGCCCATATTTTCCCCATTGTATAAGTGGTTGGCTCACTTTGATGATTATTTCTTTTGCTGTGCTGAAGCTTTTTAGTTTAATTAGGTCTTTATTTATTTATTTATTTATTTATTTATTTTTATTTTTGTTGCTTTTGCTTTCAGGGTCCTCATCATAAATTATTTGCCTAGGCTAATGTCTTCTGGTCTTAGGTTTAGGCCATTAATCCATCTTGAATTAATTTTTTACATGGTGAGAGATAGAGATCCAATTTTATTCTTCTATATGTGACTATCTTTTTTTCCCAGCACCATTTGTTGAATAACGTGTACTTTCTCCAGTGTATGTTTTTGTATCCTTTCTCAGAGATCATTTGGTTGTAAGTGGCCTTTTTTCTGAGTTGTCTATTCTGTTCCATTGATCTGTGTATGTACTTTTATACCAGTACCATGATGTTTGTTACTGTGGCCTTAGAGTTGAAGTCAGGTAATTTGATGCCAACATGTTTGTTCCTTTTTCTTGGTATGTCTGTTGCTATTCAGGCTCTTTTGTGGTTCTACATGAATGACAGCTTTTTAAAATAACTCTGTGAAGAATGACATTGGTACTTTGGTAGAAACTGTATTGACTCTGTAGACTACTTTGGGCACTATGGCATTTTCACAATATCAATGCTTTCAGTCCAGGAACATAGAATGTATGTTCATTTATTTGTATGATCTATGATTTTCTTCAGTGGCGTTTTCCAGTTATCCTTTGATAGATCACTCACCTCCTTCATTAAGTATATTCCTAGGTATTTTACTATTTTGCAGCCATTGTAAAAAGGATTGGATTCTTGATATGACTCTCAGCTTGGTTGTAGTTGGTGTATAGTGGTACTATTCATTGGTATTTGTATATTTTGTAACCTCTGAGACTTTACTAAATTCATTTATCAAATCTAGGAGTGTTTTGTAGGAGTCTGTAGGGTTTTCTAGGCATAAGATCATATCATTGGTGAAGAGAGAGTTTGACTTTCTCTTTTCCAATTTGGATGCCCTTTATTTCTCTTGCCCAATTGCTCTGCCTAGGGCTTCCCAGTTTTCTTCTTAATATGCATGAAATAAAAGTGAAATTGAAAGCGATTAATGATCAGTTTATTTCACATCTCTCTCTCATACACAGATAAAATTAATTCAAAGTTCTATGTTAAAAACACAATATTAGACCCTGTCTTGTTCCAAAGGGAATTTCTAATTTGTCTATAAATTACAGAGGAATCAAGAATATAAGTGGAAACTGTTTCCAAAAAATAAACATAAAAAGTTTGAGTTAACACAGGGGTTTCCAATCCCCAGGCCACAGACCAGTACCAGTCCCTGGCCTGTTAGGACCTGGGCCACACAGCAAGAAGTTAGTGGTAGATGAGCAAGTGAAGCTTCATCTGTTTACAGCCACTCTCTGTCACATTACCACCTGAGCTGCTCCTCCTGTCAGATCAGCGGTGACATTAGATTCTCATAAGAGTGTGACTTGAACCCTATTGCAAGCTGCTCATGCATGGGATCTAGGTTGTTCACTCCTGATGAGAATCTAATGCTTTATGATCTGTCACCATCTCCTGTCACCCCTAGATGAGACCATCTAGTTGCAGGAAAATAAGCTGAGGGCTCCCACTGATTCTACATGATGGTGAGTTATATAATTATTTCATTATATATTAGTAATAATAGAAATGAAGTGCACAATGTATGTAATGTGCTTGAATCATCCTGGAACCATCCCCCACCTCAGGTCCATGGAAAAATTATCTTCCACAAAACTAGTCCCTGGTGCCAACATGACTGGGAGAGCAGGGTTAACAGATGTGAGGCCCCTTTGCCTTGTCTTGGATTAATGTGCAGATATACATTGTGTGAATGACATCTGATGGTGCCATCTTGCCCTGTAGATCATTTTAGGGACACCTCCAGTATTTCATGAAAATTAAAATTTCTTCTAGTGACGAACAAAATGATACCCAGAAACAACTTTCTGAAGAACAGAACACTGGAATATCACAAGATGAGATTCTGACTAATAAACAAAAGCAGATAGAAGTGGCTGAAAAGGAAATGAATTCTGAGGTATTTTCTTTAGTCATTATCAAATGTTTTCATATGTGTGTATATTTTTAAAAAGCTTTATTTTGGAAGGTATAAAGGATTTTTAAATCATATATATACACACACCCTGTATATCCTTGGTCATATATCTATATATGTACACATAGGATAAAGCCATGTTCTTAATTCAACTGCATTTGCCTGCAACAGTCGAGTAGTGACCTTCACAATGGCCTCAATCCAAAGGAAAAGCATTTGATATTTTTCATAAGAATTGATTATCTTTCCAATATCAAAAATAAGTTTTGCTACTAACAACAGATTTGCTAGTTTTGGGACATTAGTTCTTTTTAAAATATTAATAGAGAAGTCAGTTTGTTATTTTCACTAATAGGAAAGTAGGAAATGTACAGCTGGGTCAGAGGCCACATTGTGGATGTCATTATCCTTGCTTTTGAGGAGAGGAACAGTTTGCTCCGAGTAGTTTCTCAATTCAATGCAAAGAGCTTTGAAAACAATGACATGCCATGATACACATTTAGTGATAATTTATTGATAAGTATTTTGTTCCCAGATGAATAGTTCAGTACGTTTCCCGTATTTCACACTTACTACTATAATGTTTCAAACATTATGAAGAGGAAAGAAAAGTTATTGCAATGGCAAATAATCTCATGATTTCTAAGAAAAGCCTTGTAAGTTATATCTTATTTACCATTTGTATTTTGAAATAAAAGGCTTCTTTTGTATTTATATATTTACACCACAGAAGCAACTGATTTTGTGGAGGATCACTAACAGTAGCATCAGAAGACCTGGCAAAAATCTTGCACGTTGCATATATATATGTGTGTGTGTGTGTGTGTGTGTGTGTGTGTGTATTCTAGATGGAGTCTTGCACTGTCACCCACGCTGGAGTGCAATGGCACAAACTCAGTTCACTGCAACCTCTGCCTCCCAGGTTCACACGATTCTCCTGCCTCAGCCTCCTGAAGTGCTGGGATTACAGGTGTGAGCCACTGGTCCTGGCTGCATATATTTTTTGACCTCTCCTTTTAAGAATCGTGATCTTAAATGAGTTGAGTGTTGTATGTAGAAGTGCAATGCTTAGATGCCGGTGTGTACATTGTAGAAGGGTACAACGCTTAGATTTAACAGTTATGAATAAATGTAATTCTTATAACTGACTGTAAAAATATTAGAAAAGCAGTATATTGATAAAACATTCCTCAGAAAAAGGAACTTAAAGAACTTTGAGGAATTGCTTCTGTCCTAATATATGCATAGCTGAGGCTCTTATGATGGTGTGGTTTGTAGGTTAGATATCAGAGTGTAAACCCAATTTAAAAAATGTAGCCAAATGTATTAATCTTCTATTTTATGCCTCTGGGTTTTTTGTAATTCAGAGAAAGGCTTTTCCAATTCTGAAATTCTTAAAAATCCTCTAGTGATTTATTTTTCATGGTCTTTAGATAAATATTTCAACTTTTTGGAATTTACACTCTTCTAGATTTGAAGTTTTGTCCAACTTTTTTCCAGTTAAATATCCACTATGGGAATTATTTCATTATACAAATATAAATGTCATTCTTTGATTTTAGAAGAAATCATGATATGTCATTCTATTGAGTGCTAACTAAAAGTTCCCTTTGTTTACTTAGCTTTCTCTTAGTCATAAGAAAGAAGAAGATCTCTTGCGTGAAAACAGCATGTTGCGGGAAGAAATTGCCAAGCTAAGACTGGAACTAGATGAAACAAAACATCAGAACCAGCTAAGGGAAAATAAAATTTTGGAGGAAATTGAAAGTGTAAAAGAAAAACTTCTAAAGACTATACAACTGAATGAAGAAGCATTAACGAAAACCAGTATTTAAGTACAGTGGACAGCTTAGGATTTTGACAACTGAGAATGCTCAGTTCTGAACTGGAGAATGTAAGACACAACTAGGAAACACTGGAAATGGAAATTCAATCATGTCATTGTAGACTGACTACTGCTCTACATGATTGTGATCAAAGTCAGATAGCTGAAAGGGACTTCTTTCCAGAGAACAAACATCAACAGGTTTATTTACAGGAGAAAATGAATTCTTATATATCTCACCTAAAAGATAACAGTGAGATTCTTTCTGAACAACTCTAACGCTGACAGTAAAATTAACAACCTAAAAATTAAGCTCCATCACACAGGATAAATTCTGAGAGAAAAGATGAGGCAGGCCACCATCTTTCCTGTTTGGGCAACTTAGTCATTCCAGCGTGCGGGCTTTGGAGAGTACAAACTCACCAGGGACAGAAGAGATCCTGTGGCATAGCACAGCTGCTTTACCAAATCATGGCCAGAATGCTTCTGTAAGCAGGCCCCTGATCCTGTTCCTCGTCACTGGACAGGATCTCCCACCTGAGGCCTCCAGCTACACCCACCAGTGTTCCCTGGCCAATGGAGATTTGAAACCTTCCTGGGACAGAGTTCCCAGAGAGAGGGGTGGGCCATGATGGGCAGGTCTTCCTGGCCTGGGTCTCCAGCCAGCCCCCCACTTGAGCCTTCAAGCCAGTAGCAACTCAGCAACTCCCTGGACAGAGCTTCCAGGAGCAACAGAAATCCTCTCTGCCACTGCCTCTGCAGTGGAACTGCCCTTGCTACCCTCAGAATATCAAGGGAGCAAAGACCCTAAGTGCCATATTGACACCTCCAACAAGCTGCAGTTGACACAAGGAACAAGTCAGTCCATCTTCCACGGGTACAACACACCCCTTACTGCTCATCACCAGACAAGGAACCCTGGCTTGGGCCCACAGCACAGACCCTCCATCCTGGGGTGATTACATTAAGTAACTCCTAACTTACACCTCTCTGGGGTGGAGCCCCCAGGAGACAAGGAAAGTGGTGGAGCAGCAAGTCAGCTGATGTGGAGCCCGGAGGGCAGGGACATCTATGTCTCTAGGCTCCACTTGCTCTTATGAGACACTTTATCCCAGCACTTAAGGAGTGCTGAGGTCAGACCAGCCCCATCTCACGTGCAAGATTGCCCAGCACAGATCAGGTCTAAGAGTTCTCTTCCTAAAAAGGGGGACTTGCTTAAAAAAGAAGTCTGGCCGCGTTTGTGTAGAGCAGTTGTGCTGTGCTGAGGATTCACTTTTGAGAGAGTTCTCCTCTGAGACCTGATCTCTGCTGGGCAGTCTTGCACATGAGATGGGGCTGGTCTGACCTCAGCACCCCTTAGTCTGCTTGCCTCTCCCAGGACCCCAGCCAGGCCACACCTGCTTAGAGGGCACTTCTGGGTGCCCACACCATAGCTTCTGTACAAGCGGACCGTGGCTGATCAGTGGAGAGCTGCAGCAAGGTGACCTCTACAGCCACGTACCAGCCTGCACATTACCTCTCCATACTGCAGCCCTTTATATGGAAACTTTCTACATCACTTAGCTGTGTGTGTTTACACAGGTGGGTTTTGTTGTACTTGCCCTAACAGCATATGGGAATGCAGCACACACCCCAACCCACACCAACTGCCACTGAAGATGAAGCCATGGTGGGCACAGAACCAAAAACCCCACCCCTGCTAGCATCTCACCCTTGAGGTAATGCTGTGCAGAGGAAAAGGGACCTTCTTATACCCTGAGTGACCACTGTTGCTTGGGGGGGATCAGAGAAGGCACCTTCACTGGCCAGCCACCCACCCCAAACCAGAACTACCTCCAGTGCAACAGCACACACAGTCAGCAGGGGCCCCCTGGCCCACACCCCAGCTGTTTTGCCTCCACCACTAGGTGAATGCCCACAGGGAGGCAGGGACTTTTGCATCTGCTAGCATTCTGCCACAGCTGCCGCACTTTGGTCCCCTCAGTGCGGTGGACTCCAAACCTCGAGGAGCCAGAGAACAAAGTTGTGGCCCAATACAAGTTCCCCAGAGTTAAAGCACACAGTCCAAGAATTGGGAGCTGCATGTTGGCCCCTTAAAATCCTCCAAAGACAAAACCTGTTGGCTGAATCCACCTTACACCACAATCAAATCCTCAAGGTCATCAGATATAATAAAGGAAAAATACCCTGTCCAAAGGTCAGCAGCCTCAAAGATTGAAGGTGGATAAGCCCATAAAGATGAGAAAAAGACTGTGCAAGAACACTGAAAACTCAAAAATTCAGCATGCTTTCTTTTCTCCAAATGACTGCATCAACTCTCCAGCAAGTGTTCAGAACTGGGCTGAGGCTGAGATGTCTGAAATGATACAAGCAGAGTTCAGGATATGGGTAGGAACAAAGTTCCCTGAGTGAAAGAGGTATGTTGTAATCCAATACAAGGAAGCTAAAAATCATTGTAAAACATTGCAGGAACTAACAGACAAAATAGCAAGTATAAAGAAGAAAATAACTGACCTGACAGAGCTGTAAATCACACTAGAAGAATTTTCATAATGCAGTCACACGGTGATTGTGTGTGATTGCATTATGAAAATTATTGTAGTATGTGTGGGCACCTGAGAGTGCCCTGTAAGCAGATGTGGCCAGGCTGGGGTCCTGGGAGAGGCAAGCAGACTAGGGAGGGCTGAGGTCAGACCAGCTCCATCTCATGTGCAAGACCATCCAACAGAATAGACCAAGAAGAGGAAAGAATCCCAGAACCTGGAAACTGGCTTTCTGAAATAAAACAGGCAAACAAGAATGGGGGAAAAAAGAATGAAAGGGAATGAACAAAACATCCGAGAAATATGGGATTATATAAACGACTAAATCTATGACTGATTAATGTACCTGAAAGAGATGAGGAGAATGGAACCAACTTGGAAAACACATTTCAGAATATCATTCATGAGAATGTCCCCAACCTAGCCAGACAGGCCAACACTCAACTTCAGGAAATCCAGAGAACCTCAGTAAGATATGCCATGAGAAGATCATCCCCAAGACACATAATCATCAGATTCTCTGCGGTCAAAATGAAAGAAAAAGTGTTAAAGGCAGCTAGGGAGAAAGGCAACATCACCTGCAAAGGAAATTCCATCAGACTTAGCAGACCTCTCAACTGAAACTGTACAAGCCAGAAAAGATATTCAACATCTTAAAGAAAAGAAATTTCAACCCAGAATTTCATGTCCAGCAAAATTAAGCATCATAAGTGAAGGAGAAACAAGATCCTTTTCAGACAAGCAAATGCTGAGGGAATTCATTATCACCAGACCTACCTTACAAGAGCTCCTGAAGGAAGCACTAAATATGGAAAGAAAAGACCACCACCAGCCACTACAAAAACACACTGAAGTACACAGACAAGTGATGCTAAAAACCAACCACATACATAAGTCTGCAAAAAAGCCAGCTGACAGCATGACGAGAGGATCAAATCCACACATACCATTACTAACCTTAAATGGAAATGGGCTAAATGCTCCAATTGAAAGACACAGGGGGCAAGCTGGATAAAGAACCAAGACCCATTGGAGTATGCCATCTTCAAGAAACCCATCTCACATGCAGTGCCCTACATAGGCTCAAAATAAAGGAATGGAGAAAAATATTTCAAGGAAATGGAAAATAGAAAAAAGCAGGTGTTGCACTCCTAGTTTCTGACAAAGCAGACTATACCAATAAAGATTAAAAAGAAAAAAAAAAAGACAGAGGGCTGGGCGCGGTGGTTCACGCCTGTAATCCCAGCACTTTCGGAGGCTGAGACAGATGGATCACAAGGTCAGGAGATCGAGACCATCCTGGCTAACACGGTGAAACCCCGTCTCTACGAAAAATACAAAAAATTAGCTGGGCATGGTGGCGGGTGCCTGTAGTCCCAGCTACTTGGGAGGCTGAGGCAGGAGAATGGTGTGAACCTGGGAAGTGGAGCTTGCAGTGAGCCAAGATCGTGCCACTGCACTGCAGCCCAGGCGAGACAGTGAGACTCCGTCTCAAAAAAAAAAAAAAAAAAAAAAAAAAAAAGAGAGAAGGAGATTACAAAGGTGGTCCTGACCTTTGATAAATCTCATTATTGCTTGATACCAACCTGGGCTATCTTTATTGCCCAAACCAATAGGATAATGTGCTGAGGTTAGGGAGCTTCTCCCCTGCAGAGAATCCCTGATCTCCCAAAATTTGGTTGAGATCTAAGGTTGATTTTGCTATACAACTCCTTTTCTGAAGTTTTACTTATTTCCAACAAGGCAAGTTTTCCTGCTTCCGTGATGATGGAGAGCAGGCACCTCCTTTCTTGAGTTTCAGCTTGCTTCTGACAGGGAAGGTGAGTGTAAGTTTTTTCCAGCTTCTAAGATGGCAGAGAACAATCACCAGCCTGAGACTTATTTCCAGGTAAGTAGCTGAATTAGAGTTTTGTCTTAAAATTTTTCCTTAATGACTAAAATTTAAGATTACTCACCAGCTGCTTTTAATTTCTCGTTACCATTAGAACACTCAGTAATCATATGAATTGTGCATTTGTTTGTTTTGCTTAACTCTTTTTGTTTGTTTATGTTTGGGGTTTTGTTGTTGTTGTTTCACTTTTCTCCCATCTCTTCCTGACTTGGTCAAATCCAAAGAATGCTCCAAATTGTGGGGAACAAGGCTTCTGAATTGGCTAAAACTCATGTGGCTGCAAAAAAAAAAAAAATTCCAGTTAGCAGAAATGATTTTTTTAACTTTTTTATTTTTATTTTTTACATAAGTGGTTGCATCTTTTGCTAGCCAAGGCCAAACTGAGGGAGTAGTGGTGGCGACCCAAAGTTAAGATTCTGCCCTGTTCACTACAGAAACCTGAGTTTGGTTCCTAAGTCTAGTTCTTTCTGTTTGATATTTGTGTTACTTTTAAAATATCAGCAGTTTGTCCCAGCTATGATGTGGTAGTAAAAGATTCAGAAGTATTTTCTTTACAAGTTCTATGTTGAAAAGCTTAATTAAAAGCAAATTTATTTTTTTTTAATTATACTTTAAGTTCTGGGGTACATGTGCAGAACATGCAGGTTTGTTACATACGTATACACATGCTATGGTGGCTTGCTGCATGCACCAACCCATGATCTAATGCCATCCCTTTTCTAGCCCCCCACCCTGACAGGCCCTTGTGTGTGATGTTTCCCTTCCTGTGTCCATGTGTTCTCATTGTTCAGGTCCTACTTATGAGTGAGATCATGTGGTGTTTGGTTTTCTGTTCTTGTGTTAGTTTGCTGAGAATGACAGTTTCCAGCTTCATCCATGTCCCTGCAAAGGATATGAACTCATCCTTTTTTATGACTGCATAGTATTCCATGGTGTATATATGCCACATTTTCTTTATCCAGTCTATCATTGGTGGGCATTTGGGTTGGTTCCAAGTCTTTCCTGTTGTGAACACTGCCGCAATAAGCATACGTGTGCATGTGTCTTTATATTGGAATGATTTATATTTTTTTGAGTATATACACTGTAATGGGATTGCTGGGTCAAATGGTATTTCTAGTTGTAGATCCTTGAGGAATCATCACACTGTCTTCCACGATGGTTGAACTGATTTATACTCCCACCAACAGTGTAAAAGCATTCCTATTTCTCCACATCCTCTCCAGCTTCTGTTGTTTCCTGATTTTTTAATGATGGCCATTCCAAGTGGCGTAAGATTGTATCTCATCATGGTTTTGAATTCCATTTCTCTAATGACCAGTGCTTTGCTTCACATGTTCATTGGCTGCGTAAATGTCTCCTTTGGGAAGTGTCTGTTCATATCCTTTGCCCACTTTTTGATGGGGTTGTTTGTTTTTTTCTTGTAAATTTGTTTAAGTTTTTATAGATTCTGCATATTAGCCCTTTGTCAGATGGATAGATTGCAACAATTTTCTCCCTTTCTGAGGGTTGCCTGTTCACTCTGATGATAGTTTCTTTTGCTGTGCAGACACTCTTTAGTTTAATTAGATCCCATTTGTCAATTTTGGCTTTTGTTGCCATCGCTTTTGGTGTTCTAGTGATGAAGTCTTCGCCTATGCCTATGTCCTGAATGGTATTGCCTAACACAAGGACATTTCTGTGCCTGAATGCCATATCTCCCAAAGTAATTTATAGAATCAGTGCCATCTCCATGAAGCTACCATTGACTTTCTTCCCACAATTAGAAACACTACTTTAAATTTCATATGGAGCCAAAAAAGAGCTCGCGTAGCCAAGACAATCTAAGCAAAAACAACAAAGCTGGAGGCATCACGGTACCTGACTTCAAACTATTCTACAAGGCTACAGTAACCAAAACAGCATGGTACTGGTACCAAACCAGATATATAGACAAATGGAACAGAACAGAGGCCTCAGAAATGACACAACACATCTAAAACCATCTGATCTTTGACAAACCTGACAAAAACAAGCAATGGGGAAAGGATTCCTTATTCAATAAATGGTGTTAGGAAAACTGGCTAGCCATATGCAGAAAACTGAAACTGGGCCACTTCCTTACACTTTATACAAAAATTAACTTACGATGGATTGAAGAGTTAAACTTAAGACCTAAAACCATAAAAAACCTAGAAGAAAACCTAGGCCACCAAACTCAGGAGAAATGTACTTGTAGTGCAATGCATGGTACAAACACACATTCCCTGCTTCTTAAGTGGGTGAGGTTGGTGGCTGGTCCACCTGCTCCAGGTGGATCCTTGCAGAGGTGGCTGGTTGCTCTTTGAGCCAGCTTGGCCTTGCCTGGCATTCACAAGCCTCAGTGCAACAACTGTGCTACAAATGGAGCCACACAGAAAATGACCAGCAGGCTCAGGAGCAGGGTGTACACTGCCTTTGGGGCTCCAGTCCATGCCTCAGGGCTCATATGGCACCGTGGGCTTCTTGGTTGCCAAGAGGCAGATCACAGGCCATCTTGTGGAGGACTTTATGTTCAAGTGCAGAAAGCAGCCAGGATTACAACCTAGGGGACTCAGCCTTTTGTGACCCTGGCCAGACTTAGAATTTGGCCCCAGGCATGACACGCTCACTCAGAGTAGCGTGTCAGTACCTGGGGCCTGTGCATGCCAGGCAAAGCCAAGCTGGCTCAAAGAGCAAGCAGCCACCTCTGCAAGCATGCTCCTGGTGCAGTTGGACCAGCCTTTAATCTCACCCACTCAAAGAAGCATGGATGGCCAGGTTCCAACAGCCTGAATGGCTGCCACCTGATGGCTGATGGAGCAGAGTCCTGAGGAAAAGCAGATGGCACTGCTTTGTAATGCCCTTTGTCTCTTTTGATCTTTTCCATTTAAAGTCTGTTTTATCGGAGACTAGGATTGCAACCCCTGCTTTTTTTTTTTTTTTTTTTTTTTTTTTTTTTTTTTTTGCTTTTCATTTGCTTGGTAAATATTCCTCCGTCCCTTTATTTTGAGCCTGTGTGTGTCTTTGCATGTGAGATGGGTCTCCTGAATACAGCACACCAATGGGTCTTGAGTCTTTTTCCAACTTGCCAGTCTGTGTCTTTTTACTGGGGCATTTAGCCCAGTTACATTTAAGGTTAATATTGTTACATGTGAAATTTATCCTGTCATGATGTTGTTAGCTGTTTATTTTTCCCATTAGTTAATGCAGTTTCTTTATAGTGTCGATGGTCGTTACAATTTGGTATGTTTTCCCAGTGGCTCATACTGTTTGTCCCTTTCCATGTTTAGTGCTTCCTTCAGGAGCTCTTGTAAGGCAAGAATGTGGATTTATTTCTTGTAAGGCAAATATGTGGATTTATATCTGGGTGCTGTATTCTATGGCCTCTACCCCAAGAGTCATTACTTTTAAAAATGCAATTCAAATTAGCATAAAACATTTACAGCCTAGGGAAAGGCTTATGGCATTAGAATCCTTATTTATAGGATTATTTTGTGTTTTTTTGAGATATGGTCTCTGTCTGTCATCCAGGCAGAAGTGGAGTGGCTTGGTCATAATTCACTGCAGCCATGAACTCTGAGTCCAAGCCATCCTTGTGCCTTAGTCTCCCAACTAGTTGGATCTACAAGCATAAGTCACCATGCCTGGTTAATTTTAAATAAAATTTTTTGTCGAGATTATGTTATCACTATGTTGCTCTGGCTGGTTTCAAATTCCTGGCCTCAAGTAATCTTTCTGCCACAGCCTCCTATAGTGCTGGGATTACAGGCATGAGCCACCATGCCTAGCATAGAGTATTACATTATTTTCAAAGTCTTATTCTAAGAGCCATTTATTGACTTTGGCCTAAATAACTCAATATTATATCTCTGAAACTTTTTTTGACAAATTTTGGGGCACGATGATGAGAGAAAGGGGTTTGAAACTTTCTAATAAGAGTTAACATAGAGCCATTTAAGGAGGAAAAAACACAAATTATCAGAAAAGTAAAAGAAAGATCAAGTGCAAAAGTTCTGTGGCAAAGATGATAGTAAAGAATATATGTGACTTATGGTGGCTTTTACTTTGTTCTTGAATTTCTGAGTAATTTAAGGGTTAACATTTAAAGAATCTACATTATAGATAACATTTTATTGCAAGTAAATGTATTTCAAAATTTGTTACTGGTTTTGTATGAGATTATTCTCAGCCTACTTCATTTTCAAGTTATATTATTTTATTAATGTAGTTTGATGATCTTACAGCAGAGCTGGAAGCTGTATCTTCAAAATATGTCTGTTTGACTCAAAACAATCAAGGTATTCAACAGGAGTTATTATGTATGAAAAAATACAACAGGAATGTAAAAATCTTGAGGAGGCTAAAAAGATGTTGGAAAAAGTAATATTAAATCTTAAAAAACGTATGGAAAGTACACATTGGTGAAGACACATTGGTGAAGTACAAAAATATAAATTGGATCTAGAAGAAAGGGCAATGCAGGCAATGGAAAAATTAGTACAAATCCCTTTACAGGTTAGTTTGTAAAATCAGGTAAGTTTATTTATAATGTGCTTTCACTTATTTCACTGCAATGGCTCTCTTATAGTAATTTGCCTTGTAGAGTTCTAGCAAAGAGGTGGCATCTGTTTTTACTTTTATATGTTTAAATTTCTATCATTATAACAAAATCGATTTTTCACAGTAATGATTCTCAGTGTGGAGTCATTTGATTATTAAGACCCATTGACATGAGATTACATCCTCTGCCTATAAAAATCCTGGAAGAAAACCTAGGAAATATTCACCTGGACATTGCACTTGGCAATGAATTTATGGGTAAGTCCTCAAAAGCAATTGCCAGAAAAATAAAAATTGACAAGTATGATTTAATTAAACTAAAGAGCTTCTTCTGCACAGCATGAGAAACTCTCAAGGGATTGAACAGACAGCCTACCGAGTGGAAGAAAATATTCACACACTATGCATACAGCAAAGGCCTATTATCCAGAAGCCATAAGAGACTTAGGCAAATCAACGAGCAAAAAATAAATAACCCCATTAAAAAATGGGCAAAGAACGTGAACAGTTTTCAGAAGAACACATATGTGGCCAACAAACATATTAACACATGCATACCATCACTAATCATCAGAGAAATGCAAAACAAAACATCAGTGAAATACCATCTCACACCAGTTAGAATGACTTCTGTTAAAAAGGAAAAGTAATAAAAATATTTAAATATTTAATATTAAAATGTCATTTAGATTGAGATAAATTAACTTGTCATTATCATTAATTCTCAAAACATGGATATTTAAGAATAACCTTACTTCACATGTAATAACACAACAACTACCTTAAAAACTAAAAGCTGGGGCCTGGCACGGTGTCTCAAGTCTGTAATCCCAGCACTTTGGGAAGCTGAGGTGGGCCGATCATGAGGCCAGGAGTTTGAGACAAGCCTGGCCAACATGGTGAAACCCCGTCTCTACTAAAAATACAAAAATTAGCTGGGCATGGTGGTGGGCACCTGTAATCCCAGCTACTCAGGAGGCTGAGGCAGGAGAATCATTGGAACCTGGGAGGCGGAGGTGGTTGCAGTGAGCTGAGATCACACCATTGCACTGCAGCCTGGGCAACAGGGCGAGACTCCATCTCAAAAAAAATAAATAAAATTAAATGAATACAAACAAATAAATAAAAGCTGGAAGTTCTATGAAAACATTAATGCACATACCATTTTTTAAAAATGTTCATGGTTTCTCTAGAGATTTCAATACCTATTCTAGCTTATTACAGTAACCTATAATTTGTACTATACCAACTATGGTATAAAAACCTTAAAATGTATATTTCTGTTTCCTCTCTCCTTTATACTATTTATGTCATGCATTATAGTCTCAAATATTATGAATTCCATAATATAAAGTTACTCTTTTTTTAAAAAATTAGACAATCAATTATCTTTAGAGCAATGTAAAATAATTGGGTTATATATCTTTATATCTTCTCTGGCATTATTTATTTCTTTGTGTAGTTTCAACTTTCACCTGCTTCCATATTCCTTTTGCCTCAAGAAATGATTTTGACATTTATTTTAGTGCATACCTGTTAGCAAGGGACTCTTCCAGTGTTAATCTGCAAATGTCATTTAATTGTTATTTTTGCTGTATTACAGTTAATGGATATAAGATTGGGGGTTGACTTTTCTTCAGTTATTTAAGAATTTTGTATCATTGGTTTCTGACTTGTAGAGTTACTGACAAGCAGTTCATTACAATGTTTGTTTCTGTTTATCTCTCTACACAGTGTTCTTATTTTTTCTGTGACTGAATTCAAGATTTATGCTAATCGTTGGTTTTCAGCAGTTTCACTAGTGTGATTATTCTAGCGTTCTTTAAATTTTGTATTAATCTTTCTTGTATATTTTGAGGTTATTTGGTCTCCTCAGTCATCTTTTTCAAATTTTTCTTCTCTCACATTCTGTTTTTACTCTCCTTCTGTAATTCCAATTAATTGTATTTTGGTTAATTTCATATTACCAGAAAATTCTTTGATTCACTGGAGTATTTTATTTGCTTGGTTCATTGGTTTATTTGGTTTTTCTCTTTCCTCCCTTTGTGCTACCATTCAAATGATTTGTATTGACCTAGTATAAAATTTACTGCTTCTTTCTTTAACTCTGATGACCAGTCTGCTAATCAGCTTGCTGATGTAATACTTCATCTCTGTTCTCATGCTTTCACTTATTTCTAGATTTTGCCTTTTACTGTTCCCATCTTTGCTGAAATTCCTCATTTTTCCATACATGTTGTCTTTTTTTAACTAGATCCTTTAACATTTTGATCATTATTATTTTAAATTACTTTCATTTAGTTCCAACATCTGAATTATCTCTGAATTTGATTCTGTTGACTTTTTATCCTTTGAAAATATTATAACTCATAACTCAAATTTCTAACTTGCTTTTATGTGTCTCCCAATTTCTAAAAAATGCAAATCATCTGATGTAGAAAAACAGTAGATCATGAGATAATTATTTATGTCGAGATTGTTTTACATTTCTGTTTCATTTTTGTTTGTGTCATGCTATTAGTGTGGGCAGGAACAAAGGTTGCTTTTTGCTGCGGTGTCTGAAACATTCAGTGAACAATGTAACTCAGATTTCTCCAGCAGTAGACTGCTATATGATGTGCCTTGTGTGGGGCCTTAGACTCTGGAGAGCATATGCCAATGATCCTGTTCCACAGTTAGCTTTCGGTAGTCCTTACAACCTATGTTATAGAGAGGGTCTCTCTCCACTTTCTTGTTCTTCTCTAACTGTAGAACATCATTTTGTGTGTGTGTGTGTGACTAGGCAAAAAATTCAGGTTGGGGACAGAGGGATGGTTTGTGTTGTTTTTGAGCCAGTTTCATCATTGGACACTCAGAGATGGGGTATTTTTAACACTTCTTGACTCTTTTTCTAGTGGGAGTCAAACTGTCACTTACCTGTGTTGTTTTTTGCAGAAGAAATAATACCTTACCCTCCTCCCACCTCAGTAGTAGAAAACCCCTGATTTATATCATTGCAAGTTTTCAACCCCACAATAAGGGCAAACTCTTTTATTTCTCCTTCCATAGGAACAATGTACCTTTGTCTGTGGTCACCGGATGGAGACTTTCCAAACCTTTACCACAGTAGCACGACTCTGCATTAGTGCAAAATCCTGGGCCCCAAAACAATCCTTGTTCCTCTCCTGATGGAGGAGTATTTTTCTTGCATCCCTCTCCCAGAAGCAGTGATCCTTTGCCTGGTGTCAGGTGGGGTAGGGTAGGGTATGAGAGGTTTCTTAACCTTCTCTGGAAGCTGATGTGTTTTGCTTCTTCTTATCTCCCAGAAACAGTAGACTTTTGCATGGGTTCATGGACCCAGATGCTTTTTTGCCACAGCAAATTAAGGGTTTTGATTCTTAGGAGAGAAGCAAATGTTCACGTAGTCAATTTTTTTCTTATTTATTTTTTGCTTTGTTTTCTTATTTCAGTAATGATGAGTTCAATATGATCATTATTTTCCACTTACACTGCTTGCAACTCTAATATTTTGTTTTTGTTAGTCCCCCTTTGACAGTTCAGCACTAAATCAAATGCAGATAATCATCAGTTGTGTGAATAAAGTGTTTTTAATTGAGAACAAAATTATTGATATAGACACAAATTTGGATATTATCCTACTTAGCACAATATGTCGCTGGTTCAAAATGTAAAAACCTCTTTAGGCTGAGCAAATAATGGTTCTTGGAACTATTGTCCCATTTTGACAAATAAAACCCAATGCTTTTTATCTCATGGATAGATTATTAAAATAACTACATACCTGATCTTCATTTTATGTTCTCTCTCTTCAAGATATTCCTTCAAAACCACTTTGACTGATTAGTCTCTTTTGAATTATGTTAGACTCTGTATTTTCTCCACAAGCTCATCAGTGTAAATCCTGCCTTTACATTTTTTATAAAAATTCTCTTTTTTTTTCAAATCTTAGTTGAGCTGAAAGATTTCCACCAAATGTCTCCTATGCCACAAAGCCTTATTTTACTTATCTCCCCTGTCCTCCTTGCTCAAGCTCATTTAGGAATATTTTAATTAAAACATTCATGCAATACTGTTTTTTAAAAAATCTGAACATATAGTATTTTCAATCTGAATACAAAATAGTGCTCTAATTTGAAAACAAGTTTTAGAAACAAATGTTTCTAGAAGGAGAATCAACAGTGTCATAAATATCATAATCCAATTTTCCTGTTTGTACTAAAACATTAGCAAATATTTATTGAGGAATTGCCATCTGCCTGAAAGTATAATGCTTTTGATGCACATTATATCATAAAAACTAGGTACTATTATTAGTAGTATCTTAAGAGTATAAATATCGAGTCTTAGAGATGTTAAGCAACGTGCCCAAATAGCATGGGGAAAGTTGGAATTCTGAAATTCTGACTATGCTGTGCGTAGGATAGGAGAATCAAGGCTTGTCAAATGTAACTGTTAAGTCATTGTGGGGATACGGAGGCCTCTGATTGCTAGGGTCAATACACTTAAGCAGATCATGTCACTACTTAGTTAAATCTATTTCATTAAAGCAAAATTCCATAAAGATTATTGCCACCAAAACTATTAATTTTCCTTCCTTCCTTTCTCTCTTTATCTTTCTTTCTTTCTTTCTTTTCTTTCTTTCTTTCTTTCTTTCTTTCTTTCTTTTCTTTCTTGTCTTTCTTGTCTTTCTTGTCTTTCTTGTCTTTCTTTCTGTCTTTCTTTGAGACAGGGTCTCAGTCTGTTGCCCAAGCTGGAGTGCAGTGGCACAATCATGGCTCACTGCAGCCCCAGCTTCCCCAGGCTCCGGTGATCCTCCCACCTCATCCTCCTGAGTAGCTGGGACTACAGGCAGGCAAGCCACTACGCCTGGCTAAAATTTTTTTTTTTTTTTGGTAAAGATTGGGTTTCACCATGTTGCCGAGCCTGGTCTGCAACTACTCAGCTCAAGCAATCCACCTGCCTTTGCCTCCCAAAGTATTGGGATTACAGATGTAAGCCACATGCCTGGCCAAAAATATTATTTAACAAGTTCAATTTAACTATTAGATTTTGGACAATGAGGGATAGAATTTTCTACATCATAAATCATCTTGTGTTCTTTATTTAAAGTAATATGTAAGGATTTCAATTCAATTCAAATATATTTATTAGGAAATTAAATGTCTTTTTCAGGATTCCAAACTTTTGTTGAAGACATAAATGTTAAATGATGTCACTAATTTTAATTAGATTAACAGAAAGGTATTCTGGTGTTTAATAACAGTGACAGAATGGGCTATTAATTTTATTTTCTTTCCCTTTCTCCCTTTCCCCTTTTTAAAATATTTTACTTTTTAGGCTGTTTGGAATCCTGTAGATAGAGTTTTGGAGAATTAGACAAAACACTCACAGAAACTGCCAACCCTTGGATGAAATATATTGTTACTGTGCTTTGGGATTAAAATAAGTAACTACAGTTTATAGAACTTTTATACTGATACACAGACACTAAAAAGGGAAAGGGTTTGGATGAGAAGCTCTGCTCTGCAACCAGGAATCTCAGCCACTCATTTCTGTTGGAGCTGCAGGAGCTCCCTGTAAAGAGAGATTATGGAGTCTGTAGCTTCAGGAAAGATACTTAAAACCCTTCAGAGTTTCTCCATTTTTCCCAGAGTTTCCCCAAAAAGGTTATGACATTTTATAAGAATGCTTCACTTGTGAAAAACTAATACCAAGTCTTCTTGTAATTTATATTTAAGGATAAATCTTTATTCCATGTTTAATTTATTTCACTTATCCTGTAACTAATATTTCATGCTGAACACATTTTAAATGCTGTAAATGTAGATAATATAATTTATGGATCATTAATGCCTCTTTAGTAGTTTAATGTCAAAAGAAATGACCCCAGAATAAGCTTCTTGATTTGTAAAATTCTATGTCATTGACTCAAGTTTGTATGGCATCTCAAAATATAAATATAGACATCTCAGATAATATATTTGAAATAGCAAATTCCTGTTAGAAAAGAATAGTACTTAACTAGATAAGAATAACAGGTCACCATTATTTGAATTGTCTCCTATTAATTTTTGTTCTGTTGTGTTACTCATGTTTTACTTATGGGGGATATACATAACTTCTGCTGTTTTCAGAATTATTGTATGCAGTCAGTATGAGAATGCAATTTTAGTTTCCTTGATGCTTTCTCACACCTCTATTACTAGAAATAAGAATACAGTAATATTGGCAAAGAAAATTGACCAGTTCAATAAATTTTTTTAGTAAATCTGATTGAAAATAAACATTTCTTACGGCTTTCTTACATCAATATTGTTATGTCTTAGACTACCGTATCTGAAATTAAGGCTTTGAAATTCTAATTATGTGCAAATGTGTAAAATATCATCACCTAACGCTATATAATATATTCTATTTCTATACTGTGATGGCAGGTTTATAATTCTGGAAAGATATACACAACATAAAATTTACCTTTTTAATCACTTTAAGTGCACAGTTTTGTGGCATTAAGTATATTTGCACTATTGTGCAACAGTCACCACCATAGACCTCCAAAACTTGTCTTCTTCTCCAACTAAAATGCTTTACTCATTGAACACCAACTTCCCATTCCTCTCCCTCTCCTTCCCCCTAGCAATCACCATTCTACTTTCTGTCTCTACAAATTTCACTAAGTAACTCATAGAAGTGGCATGATAGAATGTTTGAATTTTTCTGACTGGCTTATTTCACTTAGCATGTCTTCAAGTTTCATCTATTTTGTAGCATGTGTGAGAATATATTTTAAGGCTGAATATTATTATGTTGCCGTATATACCACATTTTGTTTAACCACTCATCCATCAATATTCACATGGGCTGCTCCCTCCCTTTGATTATTGTGAATAATATTGCTAACGGACACGCTGCACAAACATCTTTTTGGTCCCTCCGCTCATTTATTTTGGATATGGATTTGCATTTTAATACAAAGGAGAAATTACACAGCTTTTTAAAAGTGTCCAAATAAAAAGGAGCACAACATCAGTAAAATATTAGAAAGTAGATTGGGGGGAAAACAGGGAAGGAATTGAACCAAAAGTCAATAAGCTGCATAAGAGAGTTGCAAGAGGAGGAAAAAATTGACAATATTAACATAGAATTAAAGAGCGATAGGTCGATATTTAGAAAATTGTCGCATGTACTCATATGTCGCCTGTGAACTGACATTTACATTATTTTATTATTCCAGGTTTCCAAAAGTAAGTGCAATATGAGAGTTTCATGATGCTAAGTAAACTGAAACATGCTATATATTTTGATATATTGTCCTTGAGAGGAGGCTGAGTGGTAATTAGTGCAATTTTAAATTATGATATGATAATGCAGTCAATCTGCCAAACTGAAAAAAAGTATATATACAATATGTATACATTTCTCGCAAAATTCAGTTTTATCATACAATTAAATTATGATTTAAAACTACCTGACAATTAATGGAGGAAAAAATAAAACAACATTTGCATTAATATTACCATAATTTTGATATTATTGTAAATATCAAAATATGTAGTACTTAGAGATAAACCAGCAAAAAAGAGAAACATTTGAAAACTACAAAACTACAAAATATTGCTAAAATAAACGAGACCTAAATAAATGGAATTTATGAGTCATAAATCTCAATATTGTTAAGATGTCTACTCTTTCCACATTGATCTATAACAATTCCAATCAAATCACAGCTGGATTTCTTATTTTAGAAATTGAGAAACTAAAATTCTGAAATGTACATCGATGGGTAGAGGACCTATAATGGCAAATTACTTTGAAAGGAAACAGTTACTTTGAAACCAGGTGCTGCTGGAGAATTAACAGCACCTGGATTCAAGACTTATAACATTACAGTAATACTTAAGACAATGTAGTACAAATATAGATATACACATGTATATCATCTATCAGCTAATTTTTGATAAAGTTCTTAGACCATTCATGGACATAACATTTTCAACAAATGCTTCTGAAACAATTAGATATCCCAGTATATATTTGTGTGTGTGTGTGTGTGTGTGAAGCTCAATACTTCACACCTGAGAGGTATGAGTGTGCATTACAAAAGAGAACTGGGAAGCTTTGAGAGTATTGGATATGCTCATTGTCCCCTTCATGGTGATTAATGGGCACATGTACATATCAAATTCATCTCATTTACACTTTAAATATTGGAAGTGTGTTTTATGTTCGTTAGACATGAATAAAGCTGCAAAATGTTATCAAAATATTCACTTACTATGCTTTTATTCATTTTCATCTCTCTATAAACTTTCAGATAGAAAATGCAGTTGAAAGATATTTCATAAAGGAAGAAAAAGTAAGAATACAGGTGAGAGATATTACTGAGATTTTCTTTCAGTGCAATTCTGGTCTTTTCTGACTAGCAATATTTTTATGTGCAGAAGTAGTAGAAAAGATAAATATTTTGTACAGTAGAAAAACGCATCATTTCTGTGCCATGGAAGAGAGAACTCACAAAGATGACAGCTTCTGGCTATGTTGGATACTAACCAGTACTGTAAGTACCCAGCGATCTGACGTTAACATTGGCTGTAAAGCTCCTTTAATGTTCCTTGCAATGATTTGAACCTGTTACTGGAACCCTCATCGCTTATTGAGTTGAAAAACATTGTTGATATGTGTTTATCTTATATTTGCAGTAGAGTCATAATTTTACTTCTTAGAAAATTATACATTAAACAAAAAAGACACATGAAATTGTATATTGTTTAATGTTTCAACTGTGATAATCACTCCATATGCATATTTAAATTCCTATTTGATAAAGGATAGGAAATACAGAAAGAATTCTTGTGATAATAGAGAACACAGAACTGTTGAAAGGTGTTGAAGCTGAGCTGGAGAGAGTCACCAAGGCTGGCGCCAAAGCTGGCAAGGTCGGAGGGTTTCCTGCCTGGGTGGCACAGCTTGAGCTCGCCCTGCATCACGAGTGGTGGAAACTGCAGACCCAGCTGGGCCCGGAGGCCTCTGCCTCAGCCTCCCGCCCACTAGGAGCTGCGCTGAGGTCCCAGATAGGCGACCCTGGCGGGGCGCCCCTGAGCGAAGGGGGGACAGCAGCAGGAGACCAGGGTCCAGGGACCCACCTCCCACCGAGGGAACCTCGAGCCTCCCCTGGCACCCCTAGCTTGGTCCGCCTGGCCTCCGGAGCCCGGTGTGCATCCTGGTCATGGGGACACCCACCAGGTGCCCGGGAGTCCCCCTCCGCCACAGCCTGCGGCTCCGCCGGCCCTCAAGCCTGGTGCGGGGACTCCAGCCCCGTCGCCTCTGCTCCTGCCAGGCCGGGACCTGTCCTCCTCCTGGGCGCCCGGCAGTAGGGGCGATGCACACTGCCCGCTGCCCTGCACAGCCTTTCGCCGCACATCACCTCTGGCCCCTCCGCCCCGGGCCAGGACCTTCCTGGCCACACAGAACCCCCCTTCCTTCCCGCTGCAGAGCTGCTGCGCTTCCCCCACCCACAGGGAAAAACGGCCGATCTCCAACCAAACAGAAATCTGTGTGTGACTCCTCTGGTTGGATACTGCCAGTCCCCACATTTTCTTCCGGGAGTTTTCTTGGCAGAAGGTGCCCAATGTTTGATGTTTCGCCAGCCATGAGGCTGAAAAGTGACAGCAATAGAGAAACACATCAGGCTTTCCGCGACAAAGATGACCTTCCCTTCTTCAAAACTCAGCAATCTCCACGGCACACAAAGGACTTAGGACAAGATGACCGAGCTGGAGTGCTCGCCCCAAAATGCAGGCCCGGAGTGGGTCACCTCCTTAGGGCAGGCCCAGGCTTGTCCTGGCTGCCCGGGCACCTTTCTCCTCACTCCCACCCAATGCAGGGGACCCCAAAACTCGGCTGTTGGGGCTCCCTGCGCCTCCCTCCACAGAAGCCACCTCCTGCCCTCCAAGCTGGGGGTCTCCTGGGGCGTCCTGGGCTGAGAGGGAAAGACGCCAGCTCCGCAAGCCGGGAAGGGAACACCGCCACATTGTTACACGCACACACCACCACACTGTCACATGTACAGACACACGGAGACATTACCACACGGAGACACCGTCACATGGACACACTGGCACATTCACATGGACGGACACACAGACATACGGAGAAATCCACACGGACACACCACCACACTATCACAGGGACACACAGACACACGGAGACGTCACCACATGGACACACCACCACACTATCACAGGGACACACACAAGAGACATCACTACACTGTCACATGGACACACCATCACACTCACACGAACACAAAAACACACTGCCACATGGACACTGCCACACACACACACACCGCCTCACTGTCACATGGACACACCTCCACACTGTCAGACACCACCACACAGACACTGCCATGTGGAAACAAGGACACACAGACACTGTCACACGGATACACAAACACACTGTCACACGGAGACATCACCATGCAGATACATGAACACACCACCACATGGACATAGCACCACACAGACACTCTGCCACACGGACACACCACCACACAGAAATGCGGACACACCACCACACAGACACACCACCACGCTGCCACACAGAGACACCACCACATCGTTGCCACACTTTCATGTGTCAGCTGGCGGTGTGGGCCCCACGACTCTGGGCTCTAATAGAGAAATTACTTAGGCATATAGTGAAGGCAAAATAATTTTTTTTTTTCCTGAGGCGTAGTCTCGCTCTGTCCCCCAGGCTGGACTGCAGTGGTGCAATCTCGGCTCACTGTAAGCTCCGCCTCCCGGGTTCACGCCACTCTCCCGCCTCAGCCTCCCGAGTAGCTGGGACTACAGGAGCCCGCCACCAAGCCCGGCCACCTTTTGGGTGTTTTTAATACAGACGGGGTTTCACCTTGCTAGCCAGGATGGTCTCGATCTCCTGACCTCGTGATCTGCCCGCCTTGGCCTCCCAAAGTGCTGGGACTACAGGCGTGAGCCACCGCGCCTGGCCAAGAATTTCTTTCCATCTCCTGTGTCATTGCTTTGGCAGTGGAAATGCGCGTGGCCTCTAGAGTGGGTCCCAAGGTCAGGAAGGCCTGTAAGGTGGAGGGCCAGGTCTCTCTTTCCAGGCTGGAATGGAGGAAGATGTGGTGGCTGAGGGGCTGCATGTCCTCCTCACAGCAGGCCCCTGAGAACATTTATCCTCCTGAGCCGCGAGTGTCCCTCAGGGGTGTTTAAAGCGCTGGGTGGGGCCCTTATAGGCCTTAGGAGCTCTGGCCCATTAGTGGTCCGTAAAACGCAGAGGTGAACACCATAGAACAACAGGTCCAGGAGAATTTTGTAAAAGCTCTGAGGATGCCCTTTTTTGTTCTCCCACTGCAAAATTGTTTTAAAAAGGAAAAAATCCAGCAATGTCCGGGAAAAGTCAATACTGAGTGTCAGCGCGGGATGCTGCCGCTGATACGATCCCGGCGTCCTGGCCGAAAGTGGCCTCCTCGGGGACCGCATCTCCGTGCACCATGGCAGCAAACGCCAGCGGTTTGTGGGCAGATGGTGTCCCTGTGGCCATCCCCGCTCCTGAGTGCGGAAGGACAGACAGGAGCGGGGACTTCTGGGTGTTCCTGGTGTCAGCCAGCTTGACGCCGTTGTTCCTCCTGGACGTCCGGGATTTGGAGAAGCACCTGGTTCCTGATGGAGGCCGTGGGCCTCTTGGTCCCCGCTTACCAGGCAGCGGCGCCGGCCTAGTTCTCAGCCCCGCCCCCGATGGGCGCCGCCTTCCATCAGGCCGAAGACTTTCCTCCAAACTGCCCTTCTTGGGGCGGGGAAGCAGCATCCTGGGCCTCCCCTGGGGCCTGTGGCGCTGGCAGCAGCTCCACGTTGAGGTCGCCTGCAGCCTGCACCGCGGAGCGCTGGAGGTCCCTGAACCCGGCGTGGGGAGGCCAATCCGCAGGTGCCTGGTGCCCGGTGCCGGTCGCAGTCTCAAAAGCGCCTGGAGGTGACATCCAGGAGCACCACCGCGCCGCCCGCAGGGAGACGCATGGCAAGGCGCGCCCCCTAAAGCGGCCAAGGAAGAAGCAGAAGGACAGGAAGGCACCCAGAGCTTGGGGTGATCTCAGGCCGCGCGCCCCAAGTTCCTGGTCTCTGGGAGGTTTTTTTTAAATTTCTTCCATATTATTATTTTTATTATTATTAACTTTTCAAGATGGATTAAAGACTTAAATGTTAGACCTAAAACCATAAAAACCCTAGAAGAAAACCTAGGCAATACCATTCAGGACATAGGCATGGGCAAGGACTTCATGTCTAAATCACCAAAAACAATGGCAACAAAAGCCAAAATTGACAAATGGGATCTAACTAAACTAAAGACCTTCTGCACAGCAAAAGAAACTACCATCAGAGTGAACAGGCAACTTACAGAATGGCAGAAAAATTTTGCAATCTACCCATCTGACAAAGGGCTAATATCCAGAATCTACAAAGAACTTAAACAAATGTACCAGAAAAAATCAAACAATCCCATCAAAAAGTGGGCGAAGGATATGAACAGACACTTCTCAAAAGAAGACATTTATGCAGCCAACAGACACATGAAAAAATGTTCATCATCACTGGCCATCAGAGAAATGCAAATCAAAACCACAATCCGGGAGGTCTTGCCAAAGATGATGTGGGCTTTCTGGGCAATGTCCAGCCTGAGCTGGAGCTTCTGGGACGCGGTCAAGTGGTCCTTTGGAGATTCCACGGCTTCGGATCCCTACTGCAGGATGCTCCGCTGTGTCTGCCAGCCTCTGGAGTTTTGCTGAGGGGTAACCTCGGAATGTATAGAAATAAGAACACTGGGATGGCCCAGTCATGACCCAGGCATTCCTGCACACAGTGGTGGCAAAGGCAGGCGCTCAGACAAAGTGCCCGGTCGGCTTGGTGAGAGTACTTTACAGGTTAGTGACAGACTTGGTCCCGTGCTTGTGTCCTCTCATGTTTTCAGTTAACCTGCGGACGCCCAGGGGCTCCTCCATCTCCACCGTGTTCTCCTCGGGCTGAAGCCCAAAGTCCCCCATTTTCTCCTCAAACGGCTCACAGAGCCACTTCTGCAGGCAGGAGGACAGCGGTGGGCTCAGTGGCTGACCTGGGAAGCCACATCTGAAGGAACTGCTGGGTGACTATGGCCGTAAGTCAATCAAAGCAGACTTTCCCTGGCTTGCTGCGCTACATTGATTTTGTTTTCATATTTTAAAAGACACAGAAGGGAGGTCCTAGGAAATTTGCCCAATGCAGATGCTGACAAGAGTGGTGACATGAAAAAGATTACCCAGAAGGAAAACAAGAGCTATTTTCTAAACATCTGAAATCTGTGTAGGCTTTTGGAAAAGTGAAACTAGATGCAAAGCAGCATGATATAATTCTGGCAATTTCCACTGACACAGAACTCAGTCAATCTGAATTAATCTAAGGGTTACAAGGAAAATGGCACTCCAAGAGGTACCTATTAACATCACTCAGCTGCTGTGAAATAGGCTTACAGACAACACGGAGTGTCAATTATCCAATGTTTAAAGTCAGTGATACAGATTGGACTACAATCTCTATGGCTCATAAAGTCTTCTTTAAAGGATTGATAGATGATTTATCTCATATGTAGACAATGATTCTCAGCAGTTAGCTAGCACAACTTGCTAATATCAATTGCTTGAGAAAATCAGATAATTGCTTGAGAAAATTAGGACATTGCTTGAGGATGTTAGGTAATTAAATAAATTACTTTTTTTAAGAATAGTTTAATGTTTTGGCAAGTAGACTTTAAAATAGATTGGTAATATTTTAAAGGCTACTTTTAAAGAAGTAGCAATATAACATGTTTAATTATGAAAAATAATGTTGGAAACAATTCAATTTTCTATCAGATAATTTCACAAATATAGAAATACCATCTCAATAATTAGAAGAAGTAGCAGCAATTTCTGTCATTTTTATGCAAGTTACTCCTAGTCCATTTATCTGGTCTTAAATAGTGTTTTTAAAATTTGTTTTCAAACAAGGCAAATCATAAATAATAGAATATATTTTACAATAATTGAAGGTAACAAAAAATAAGAGCCATTTAAAAAATTGTATTAGATTGTTTAAAAATGTTGTGGGTACATAGTATGTGTATGTATCTGTGGGGTCCCTGAGATGTTTTGATACAGGCATGCAAGGTGAAATAAGCACATCTTGGGGAATGGGGTATCCCTCCCCTCAAGCATTTATCCTTCAAGTTATAAAAAATTCAATTACAGTCTTAGTTATTTCAAAATGTACAATGAAATTATTATTGGATATAGTCACCCTATTGTGCTATAAAATAGTAGGTCTTATTAACTCTCTATTTTTATACCCATTAACCATCCCCACCTTCCCACAAAATCCCCCCCCAACTACCTTTCCCAGCCTCTGATAACCATCCTTATACTCTCTATGTCCATGAGTTTGTTTTGATTTTAGATCCCACAAATAAGTAAGAACATGTAACATTTGTCTTTCTGCGCCTGGCTTATTTCACTTAATATAATGATCCATAATGTTCCATCAGTGTTACTGACAATGACTGGATCTTGTTCTTTGTTACGGCTGAATAGTCCTCCATTGTGTATATGTACCACATTTTCTTTATCCATTCATCTGTTGATGGACACTAAGGTTTCTTCCAAATCTTAGTTTTGTAAACAGTGCTGCAACAAATATAGGAGTGCAGATATGTATTTGACATACTGATTTCCTTTATTTTTGGTAGAGACCCAGCAGTAGGATTGCTAGATCATATGCTAGCTCAACTTTTAGTTTATTGAGAAACATCCAAACTGTTCACCTTGGTGGTTTTATTAATTTACATTCCCAGGAGCAATGTACAAGTGTTCCCTTTTCTCTGCTTCCCTGCTAGCATTTGTTACTGCCTGTCTTTTGCATACAAGTCATATAAACTGTGGTGAGATGATATCTCATTGTAGTTTTGATTTGCATTTCTCTGATGATCAGTGATATTGAGCACCTTTTCTTATACCTGTTTGCCATTTGTAGGTCTTCTTTTGAGAAATATCTATTCGAATCTTTTGCCCCCTTTTTTTTAACCAGGTTATTAGATTGTTTCTTAAAGAGTTGTTTGAGCTTTTTATATATTCTGATTATTAATCCTTTGTTGGATGAGTAGTTTGCAAATATTTTCTCTCATTCTGTGGATTATCTCTTAACTTTGTTGCTTGTATCATTTTCCGTGCAGAAGCTTTTAACTTAATGTGATCCATTTGTCCATTTTTGCTTTGGTTGCCTGGCTTGTGGGGTATTGCTCAAGATATTTTTGCCCAGACCAATATCCTGGAGATTTCCCCCAAAGTTTTTTTGTACTAGTTTTATAGTTTGAGGTCTTAGCTTTACATCTTTAATCAACTTTGATTTTACTTTTGTATTCAGTGATAGATACTAGTCTGTTTTCATTCTTCTGCATATGGATATCCAGTTTTTTCAACACCATTTCCCACCAGTGTATGTTCTTGGCACCTTTGTCAAAAATGAGTTCACTGTAGGTATGTAGATTTGTTACTGGGTTCTCTATTGTGTTTCATTGATCTATGGGCCTCTTTTTATGCCAGTACCCTACTCTTTTGGTTACTGTAATTCTGTAGTATAATATGAAGTTAGATAATATAATTCCTCCAGTTTTATTTATTTATTTATTTTTGCTTAGGATAGTATTATTTCTTATACTGAAAGCATTCTATGTTATTATTAGTCTAATTTTGCAGTTTTACAATGCTATCCTCTTTTACAAAGCTGTGATCAACTCAAAGTCCAGATCAGGGTCAATTGTAGCTATTTGCAAAAGTAGCAATATTCTGGCCAGGGGTGGTGGCTCATGCCTATAATCCCAGCACTTTGGGAGGCCAAGACAGGCAGGTCACCTGAGGTCAGAGGTTCAAGACCAGCCTGGCCAACATGGTGAAACCCTGTCTCCAATAAAAATACAAAAATTAGCCGGGGATGAAGGCAGATGCCTGTAATCCCAGCTACTCAGGAGGCTGAGGCAGGAAAATCACTTGAACCCGTGAGGTGGAGGTTGCAGTGAGCCCAGAATGCACCATTGCACTTCAGCCTGGGTAACCAAGTGTGACTCCGTCTCAAAAAAAAAAAAAAAAAAAAAAAGTACTATACTGTGTAATTATTGAGAGCATAATTCACTATTATGTGGATCAGAGAGCAGAGCATTCTGAATGCATGAACATATCTTTAACATTTCAATACATTACTCATAATTACTAATGAACTAAAGAGAAACCAAGAAATTATGGTGATAGTTATATTGACTTGGTGAAATGTAGACACAAAATAACGGTAAGATGAGAAATGTGTTAACACAGGCTATAAGGGCATGCAAGAATAAAAATAGGGGAGAAAACAGGAGAGTTTTTCAAGAGCTTTCTGGTCATGTAAGTCAATTTGTATCGGTTAATTTTTAAAAGGTTTATTTACATGCAATAAACTGCACATACTTCAATTGTACATTTTGATAATTCTTGGCATTTGTAGCTCTACAAAACCAACAACATATGAAAATAGAAAACATATCCATTACCTTTACCACCAAAGTTTCCTTGTGCTTTTTCTACTCACTTTTTCCTGCCTATCCCCATTCCATCCACAGGCAACCACTGATCCACTTCTAGTCACTATCCGTGAGTTTTTATTTCCAAATACATAAAATCATAGGGTATGTATACTTTCTGATCACTCAGCATCACTATTTTTGAGATTTATTCATGTTGCTACATCTATCAATTGTTCTGTTCTTACTAGGGAGTATTATTTCATTATATACAGATACCATAGTAAGTTTATAAGTCACAAATTCACCTGTCCATGGATATTTGGACTATTTTCAGGTTTTGGCTGTTGCAAGTAAAGCTGCTATGAAGATTCATGTAAAATCCTTTGAATGGGCATATGCTCTTAGGTTTTCATCTCTACTGGAATAGATAGCTATATGGCTATCATGTCTGTAATATGCAAACACAAAGCCTGACAAAACTGATTTCTAAAGTGGAAATTCCACTGGAGAACCTTGACTCCAACCTGGCTTTTGAGATTATCTCCTATGTCTGGTGCAATGATTGGTCCTGAGGTAGCCACATGACCCAAGGGGGACCATGTTTAAACTTCTGAGTTTTCACCGAGGTTAACATGCATTTGTTGAAAGAGAAACCCCTTTTCCCCTACTCCCCCAGCTGCAAATGCCTTCAGGGATTATATCATGTTGGAACATTTGGTTACAGTGTTTCCTAAACTTTGGGGGTAAAAATTGTTCAAGTAGGTAAAAATGGAGCACACACAAAGAAAAAAGGAGTCCAGAAATATCAAATAAAGAAAGGGCCTCCATAAAATCATTTGAACTTATGATTAATTCATTAGTCATTAAAATAAGTTTAGTGTACAAAGAATCATCCCTCCAACCACCCTTTATTCCTTCACCAGGTTTAAGTTACATTTTTAAACTTGCAAACAAAAGATTTGTCATTAACTTAGACATCAAAATCCCTTGTCTCCAAGAGCAATCATTCAACTCTGTCCCTCTCATTATTACAATAATATGTTCACTTTATTCTACATACACCTGCTCGTTGCCCTTGTCTCCCTATTCTATTCTGTTAAAGTTATATCCAGACATTTATTTCATTTTATATCAAAGAAACTGTATACACGTTTTTAATCTTAGAAACATTTCTGAGTAATCTTTTGTCTCATATTCGATTTTAAGCCACCCAAGAAGCATTATTTTTTCATTTAGCATTTTAACTTTTCTAACCCAGGACTTTTATAGTAGATATTATGTCTTTTTCTAAATGTTCTGCTTCAATTTACATTTTAAATCTAATTTTTAAAAAGTGTATGTTTTGAATATTAGCATCATGCATCTCAGGCCTAAATATCCCTTGATAACTAATATTGTCCTTTTTTCTCTACATTTTTCACATATTTCAATAGGGAGCTATATTGCCTGCCACAATAAAAGTTTTTGTCAATATAACATAACACATAGGCAAAATATTGTTTCCAAGTGATTGATGATGTGGTGCCTTCAGTCTAGTCCCAACCCCTCAATGTAATCATCATCCCTAAATCTAATGAAATAGGAAATAAATATTTCATTTTGTTTCTAAAATTCAGCAGAAAAATATACAGCCTGTCACATATAGCCTGTAACACCAACATATAAAAATTAAAGCAGTTCCTTCTCCACTCCCACTGCTTCACTTGACTAGCCTTAAAAAATAATAATAATAATAAATAAAAGCAAAATTGTTCCTTTACTTATCTTTGAAATCTAATGGATATACTATCAGAAAAGCTCTTATGTATATGGAGGGCCTCTATAAAATATAAACTGTTAACTAGAAAAGTAGATTTATATGATAGTTAAATTTAAAACACAATTATATATAGTACCTTCCCAAATGCACCAGTACTTATTTCAGAATGCATGATGTAATTGACTAAACCATTTAGGGCTAGACCTCTGAAATAAAAGGCATTCACACTTTGTGATTCCTGGGGAAATATTCAAAATAGAAACTTGCAGAATCTTTACCTGATCATGATAAAAAAAATGTTCCTACTTGTTAATATGCCACAGCTTTTACAAGGTCAGCAAAAAGAGATTATCCCACAATAAAAGCTGATGGCCAAAATTATCTGCCTTACTTTAGTTACCATAATATCTATTAAGTGTAAATTTCTTCTGAAGGAAAACAGATACACTTTTCTCAGAAATGTCTTTAGATGAAGATCTAGCACATCTGTGTTCCTCACTTTTTAAAATGTTGATTTTATTGATAAATAAATATATATAGGGTACAATGTGGTACGATACATGTAGATATTGTGAAATGGACTAATTAGGCTAAATAACGTATCCTTCACCTCAGATATGTATTACATTATGGTGAAACATTTAAAATGTACTATTTTAGCACTTTTAAGATATGCACTACATTATGAGTAACTGCAGTCACTTTGCTGTGCACCATATCACCAGAATGTCTTTCTCCTAACTGAAACATTATCCCATTCAATATTTCCCCTTTTTCCACCCCTGCCCCCCACCCTGCTCAGCCTCTGATAAACCACCATTCTATTCTTAACTTCTATGAGTGCACAGTTTTGGATTTCACATATAAGTGATACTATGAGATATTTGTCTTTCTGTGTCTGGCTTATTTTACTTAGCATAATGTCCTCTAAATTCATCCATGTTTTTGCAAATGACAGATTTTCATTCATTTATAAAGATAAGTAGTATTTTTGTATGCATCCTACATATACTTTTAACTTTCCACAGCTTTATTGAGATATAATTTATACATTGTGTAATTCACTCATTTAAAGTACAAACTTCAAATTCTTTTAGTATATTAACTGGATGGACAAATAATCATCATAATATAATTTTAGAACATTTTATTTTCCTTAAAAGAGACTTGCACCCATTAGCAATCTTTCCCCATTTTCTCCAGTCTTTTTTAAACCCCTCCTAGTCTAGGCAACCACTCGTCTACTTTCTGACTATGAATTTGCCCATTCTGGACATTTCACATAAATGGAATTATAATAACACATAGTCACTTTTTACTCACATCTTTCACCTAACATATTTTTAATGTTCATCCATTTTGGAGCATGCATTAACAGTTTTTTACCTTTTCTTGCTAAATAAGATTCTATTTTATGGACACACCACATTTTATTTATCCACTCCTCAGCTGATGAACATTTCTGTTGTTTTCTACTTTGTGTTGCTATAAACATTTGTGTACTACTGTTTGTGTAGCATTTGTTTTATTTTCTTTTTGGTAAACACATAGGAGTGGAATTGCTGGGTCACGTGATAACTCTATGTTTAACCATTTGAAGAACTGCGAGACTGCTTTACATTTTAAAGTCTCACCAGTGGTGTAGAAGGGTTCCAATTTTTCCACATATTTTTATCTAGTCTTCAGTTGATAAGCACTTAGGTTGTTTCTAATTCATGGGTATTATGAATAATGCTGCAATGAACATGAAATTGCAGATGTCTGTTTTTGACATACTGATTAAAATTCCTTTGGACACGTATCCAGAAGTGGGATTGATGGATCATAGGGTAAATATATTTATAATTTCTTGAGGAAGCTTCATACTGTTTTCCAAGATGGCTGTGCTAATTTCCATTCTTACCAACAGTGCACAGGGTTTCTTTTTCTCCACATCCTCATCAACACTTATCTTCCATCTTTTTTTATAATAGCCCTAGTAAAATGTGTGAGGTGATATCTCATTGTGGCTTTGATTTGCATTTCTCTGATAATTAGAAATGTTTATGATTTTTTCATGTACCTGTTGGCCTTTTGTATGCCTTACGAAATGTCTATTCTGGTTCTTTGCTTATTTTTTTTAATAAGCATAGTTTTATTCTTATGTTTGAGTAGGTTGAGTTACTTATATATTATTATATGAGCCCCTTATCTGATGTATGGTTTAAAAATGTTATCCCATTTGTGGGTTCTCTTCATTCTATTATCACTTCTTTTCCTGTGGAAAAGCTTTTTAGTTTTATGCAATCTCATTCATGTGTTTTTGCTTTTGTTGCCTGTGCTTTTGGAATAATCTACAGAAAATCATAGCTCAGGCCAATGTCATACAGTCTTCTTCTATATTTCCTTGTAGTAGTTTTACATTTAAGTCTTTAATTTTGATTTCATGCTTGTATAAAGAGCAAAAGAAAAGTCAAATTTTATTCTTCTGTATGTGGATAGTCAGTTTTTTCTACACCATTTATTGAAAATAATTTTCTTTCTTCATTGTGTATTTTTAGTTATTTTATCAAAAAGCCAATTGACCACAGACATACGGATTTATTTACGTGTTCTATATCCCTTTGCACTGTTCTACATGTCTGTTTTTATGCCACTGCTATGTTGTTTTAATTACTATAGCTTTGTAATATAGTTTGGAATCGGGTAGTCTGATGCCTCCAGCTTTATTCTTTTTGTTCAAGATTGCTTTGGTTAGTCAGGGTCTTTTGTGGTTTCATACAAATTTTAGCAGTAATTTTTCTATTTCTGGGAATTTGATAGTGGTTGCATTTAATCTGTAGGTTGCTTTGGGTAGCATTGACACTTTTACAATACTAATTTTTGAATCAATCAATAAAGGATGTTTCTCCATTTATTTATGCCATTTTAACTTTTTTCATCAATGTGCTATAGTTTTCAGTGTGCAAATCTTTCACATTCTTGATTAAATTTACTCCTAAGTCTTTTACATATTTTTATATCTGTTTTGATTCTATTATAAATTGAATTGCCTTATTAATTTATTTTTCAGGTAATAGTTTGTCATTAATGTATAGAAACAATAATGCTATCTGTATGATTTTGTAACTATTAACTTTATTGAATTTCTTTATCAGCTTTAACCGTTTATTGTGGTGGAGTCTTTAAGATTTTCTCTACCTTGAGTGCGCCAGGCGCGGGGAGCCTAGGACCTGGAGCGAGAGCCGCCTACCTGCAGCCGCCGCCCACGGCACGGCAGCCACCATGGCGCTCCTGCTGCGCTTCGTGCTCCTGTGCAGAGTCGCGGATTTCATCAGAGGTTGGAGTATCACTACTCCTGAGCAGATGATTGAAAAAGCCAAAGGGGAAACTGCCTATCTGCCATGCAAATTTACGCTTAGTCCTGAAGACCAGGGACCACTGGACATCGAGTGGCTGATATCACCAGCTGATAATCAGAAGGTGGATCAAGTGATTATTTTATATTCTGGAGACAAAATTTATGATGACTACTATCCAGATCTGAAAGGCCGAGTACATTTTAAGAGTAATGATCTCAAATCTGGTGATGCATCAATAAATGTAACGAATTTTCAGCTGTCAGATATTGGCACAGATCAGTGCAAAGTGAAAAGAGCTCCTGGTGTTGCAAATAAGAAGATTCAGCTGGTAGTTCTTGGTAAGCCTTCAGGTACAAGATGTTACGTTGATGGATCAGAAGAAATTGGAAGTGACTTTAAATTAAAATGTGAACCAAAAGAAGGTTCACTTCCATTACAGTATGAGTGGCAAAAATTGTCTGACTCACAGAAAATGCCCACTTCATGGTTAGCAGAAATGACTTCATCTGTTATATCTATAAAAATGCTTCTTCTGAGTACTCTGGGACATACAGCTGTACATCAGAAACAGAGTGGGCTCTGATCAGTGCCTGTTGCGTGTAAACGTTGTCCCTCCTTCAAATAAAGCTGGACTAATTGCAGGAGCCATTATAGGAACTTTGCTTGCTCTAGTGCTCATTGGTCTTATCATCTTTTGCTGTCGTAAAAAGCGCAGAGAAGAAAAATATGAAAAGGAAGTTCATCACGATATCAAGGAAGATGTGCCGCCTCCAAAGAGCCGCACGTCCACTGCCAGAAGCTACATAGGCAGTAATCATTCATCCCTGGGATCCATAACTCCTTCCAACATGGAAGGATATTCCAAGACTCAGTATAAACAAGTACCAAGTGAAGACTTTGAACGCACTCCTCAGAGTCCGACTCTCCCACCTGCTAAGGTAGCTGCCCCTAATCTAAGTCGAATGGGCGCGATTCCTGTGATGATTCCCGCACAGAGCAAGGATGGGTCTATAGTATAGAGCCTCCATACGTCTCATCTGTGCTCTCCGTGTTCCTTTCCTTTTTTTGATATATGAAAACCTATTCTGGTCTAAATTTTGTTACTAGCCTCAGAATGTATCAAAAAATAAGTTAATCAGGAGCTGTAAGGAATATATTTTTAAAAATTTTTGTTTGGTTATATCAAAATAGTTACGGGCATTAAAGTTAGTAAAGACAAGTTTACCATCTGAAAAGGCTGGATTTTCTTTAAGAGGCTGATTATAAAGGTTTCTAAATGTTATCAGTACCTAAGTAAGATGTAGCACTTTGAGTATGAAATCATAGGTGAAGAAATCGGTGAACTTACTTGCATACCAAGTTGATACTTGAGTAACCATCTGAAAGTGGTACTTGATAATTTTTACCATTATTTTTAGGATGTGTATCTCATTTATTTATGGCCCACAAGTCTCCCCCAAATTAGTACAGAAACATCCCTGACAAAATTACTTATGTACGTTTGTACTTGTTTTCACAGCTCCTCGGAAAACTCTGTGTTAGGAATATCTCTAAAAACATAGAAAACACTACAGTGGTTTAGAAATTACTAATTTTACTTCTAAGTCATTCATAAACCTTGCCTATGAAATGACTTCTTAAATATTTAGTTGATAGACTGCTACAGGTAATAGGGACTTAGCAAGCTCTTTTATATGCTAAAGGAGCATCTATCAGATTAAGTTAGAACATTTGCTGTCTGCCACATATTGAGATGGCACTAGGTGCAATAGCAGGGATAGATTTTGTTGGTGAGAGGTCTCATGCCTTGAGATCTGTGGTGGTCTTTAAAATGGTGGCCAGCCAGACCAAGGATGTAGTATCTCATAGTCCCCAACTAAATGCTGGCTTTCCACTTTAGGTGATATTTTTCTAATTAGAAAAATATTATAACTCACTTATTGTTTGACAATTATAGATTGAAATTTCCTAATTCTAAATTTTAAGTGGCTCTTCAGTTTCAGTGCTCTATGTTGTTTGTTGTTGGTTTTGGATGGCATTACATATTATATGTTCTAGAAACATGTAATCCTAAATTTACCCTCTTGAATATGATCCCTGGATGATATTTTTATCATAAATGCAGAATAATCAAATACATTTTAAGCAAGTAAGTGTCCTCCATCAGTTCCGTATTCCAGACTTGGGAGGATGTACGGTTGCTGTTGTGTGATCAAACATGTCTCTGTGTAGTTCCAGCAAATCAAGCTGAGCTTCAAAAAAGTTTGAGTCTCAGTTTTGTGAAAGTGATTTATTCTTAAAAAAAAAAAAAGAAAGAAAGAAAAAAAGATAAGAAAAAGGAATAAAACAACCACTCCTCCTTGTCAAATGTGCTAAATATCATTTTAGGAGAAGAAAGTGGATTTATTGTATCTCCCTTAAGATTGTGAGGGAGTGTGGATACAGTAGAATGAGCCAATAGTTTCTTTATAATAAATACGGTCTGCAATAAATTATTTCACTAGCTCTAAAACCTTTCCCTAGATTTTAGTGGGGAGTTGGTTTCTGTTAATATCTTTGGGTGCTGTGGTGGTAAATGCTACATTATAAACGGTGGCATGTATTTACAGTTACAGTATTGTGTGTACACTTTTTAATGGTAAACTTAAGCTGAATGTGTAATGGACTTGTGTATAGTTTTACATATTTGGAAGCATTTTAAAAATAGGTTTTAACCTTACATAAAATTACTTTTATACTTGTGTTAACATTTTCTTCTGTGCCTTTTGGGTAATTTAATTTCTGTTATGAATTTCTGGTGCCTATGAGCTAGCTATCACCTACCTGAAAGTTGCTTAGAGGTGAAGGTACTGATTCTAAAAACACATCACTGTGACATCTTTCTATCCTCATATTTTCAAGCTTGCCTCTTTTCTGTTCTTTGTGGATATAACTTAAGTGATTGTGTTATTCATAAAGATTTAGAAATTTCAATATTCCCAACACTCTGACTATGTTTCTGATTTTATAACAGTAGCCATTTTTGAATGTCAGATGTTTGGCCTGTTTTATATGAATAAAGTTTATTTATAAAATATTATAAAAATAAGTAAATAGAACATTAATAATAAAAAAAGATTTTCTGTATCTTAAGATTATATTTTCAGAAAACAGAAACAATCTTACCTCTTCCTTCCCTATATGGATTTCTTTTATTTCTTTGTCTTGTGTAATTGATCTGGCTAGGCAATTACACATAATGTTTTCAGCATTTGTAATTTTACATCAAATCCATCCATTGTAGCACATTGACTGCTACTTTTCAACTTGTAAACCTGGACATTTATCACTAATCTTCCTCCAGTACAGGAGTCCATGGCCCGGTGTGGGCCCTACTGTGCCACAGTCCAGGGCACGGCTGGGCGCAGGTTCTCTCGTGCAAGAGTCCGCAGCTCTGCGGAGCAAGAGTTCTCCAGTGCCTTAGACCAGGGTGAGGCAGGGGTGAGGCTCCTTCAGTAGCTCAGTCCAGGACGCAGCCCTGCGAGGGTCCTCCTGTGCAGGAATACACGATGCTGAGGGGTCCTACTGTGCCTTAGTCCAAGACGCCAGGGGGCTGGGTCCTCTGGTGCCATAGTCCAGGATGCGAGGGGCTGGGTCCTCTGGTGCCATAGTCCAGGCTGCCGGGAGCTGGGTCCTCTGGTGCCATAGTCCAGGGTGCAGTGGAACAGGAGTCCTGTGGAGCAGCAGTCCAGGGCGCGATGGGGCATGGATTCTCAGGTGCCGCAGTCCAGAACACTGCAGGGCGGGATTCCTGCCTTGCTATATCCAGGGTGCCGCGGGGCGGGGGTTCTCTTGTGCAGGAGTCCAGGACGTGGCGGAGCAGGAGTCCTCCGTGTAGGTGTCCTCCGGTGCTGGAGTCCAGAGCTCAGTGAGGCTGGGTCCTCCCGTGCCATAGTGTAGGGCATGGCGGGACAGGGATCCAGCCCTGCGATAGTCCAGTGCTTGAGTCCGCAGTAAGGCAATGGTCCTCCAGTGCTGGAGTTCACGGTGTGGTGGGGTCGGGGTCCTTCGGTGACTTAGTCCAGGGCGTACCAGGGCGGGGTTCCACAGTTGCCATAGTGAGGATCCTGGAGGAGGGTGGTTCCTGCCTTGCTGTAGTCCGGGGAGCAGGGGGCAGGGGTTCTCTCTTGTCAGAGTCTCTGGTGCGATGGGGGTGGGCTGGGGGTTTTCCTATGTGATAGCCCACTGGGCGGTGAAGCCGGGTCCTCCCGTGCCTTTGTCCAGGGTGCAGGGGGGCGAGGGTCTTCAGTGGTGGAGTCCGTGGAGCAGCAGGGCGGGGGTCCTGCAGTGCCATATTCCAGGCCGCTGCGGAGTGGGGGACCTGTCCTGCAGTGGTCCAGGGCATGCGGGAATGGTGGTCCTCCTGTGCCATAGTCCAACGCGCAGCGGGGCGGGGGGTCACCTCGTCCTGCGGTCCACCAACCACGAGGCCCGGGTGCTGCTGTGCCTCAGTCCAGTGCGCGGTGGGACGGCGGTCCTGCTGTGCTGTAGTGCAGGACGCGGTGGCGCAGGGGTAGTCCAGAGAGCGCCGTGGCAGGGGGTCCTCCAGTGCTGGAATCCAGTGCAAGGCGGGTCAGGGGTCTTACCGTGCCGAAGTCGGTGGCAGGGGTCCTCCCGTGCCATAGTCTAGGGGGCGACGGGGCAGGGTTCTCTAGTGCAGGTGTCCAGGGTGTGGCAGGGCAGGAGTCCTCTGGTGCAGGAGTCCAGAACCTAGCCGAGGAGTCCTCCAATGCCAGAGTCCAGGGCTCTGCGGGGCCGGGTTCCCCCATGCCAGAGTGTAGGGCGTGTTCAGGCGAGGGTCTTGGCGTGCAGTAGTCCAGGGTGCGGTGGGGCAGGGGTAGTCCAGACCTCCATGGCGGGGGTCCCTCTGTGCAGGAGCCCAGTGCCCGGCGGATCGGGGGTCCTTCCGTGCTGTAGTCCGGGGCACGGCAAGGTGTGGGTCCTCTGGTGCCCTAGTTCGGGGGCGGCGAGTCAGAGGTTCTCCCGTGTCTTGGTCTAGGGCGTGGAAGGACTGGGGTCCTGGAGTCCACGCGGTAGCACAAGTTGCCCCAGGACCAGGTCCTCTGGAACCACAGTCCAGGGCGCTGAGGGGCAGGAGTAGTTCAGGGCGAGCCGGGGCCAAGGTCCTCGGGAGCCAGAGTCCAGGGTGTGGAAGGGTGGGGGTTCTGCAGTGCACAGTCCAGGACACCGCGGGGCGGGGCAGGGCGGGGATCCTCCGGTGCCTTAGTCCAGGGCTGAGCCGCGGTAGAGGTCCTTCAGTAGCATAGTCTAGCGCACGGCGTTGCAGGTGTCCTCCAGTGCCTGAGACCACGGCAGGTCGCGGGTCCCACTGTGCTCTAGTTCAGGATGGAGCAGTTCTGAGGTCTTCTGTTGCCTCAGTCTAGGGCGCTGGAGAGCGGGGATCCTCTGGTGCCAGAGTCAATGGATCCACCGGTCGGGGTCCTCCCATGTCTTAGCCCCGGGAGGGGAGAGGCGGGGGTCCTCCTTTGCCCTAGTCCAAGGCATTGTGAGGCCCCGCTCCTGCATTCTTAACTGTCTGTGCCTCTGCCGCCGCGGGGGAAAACTGCACCATCTCAGGCAAGCCTAACAGAGCAGCTGTCCTTAAAAGATTCCCAGTTGAGTGTGGTTCGGAGCAGGCCTGAGAAGTGTGCCCTTAGATGGCTTCAAGGGCTCTGGGCAATGTTTAAGGAATCCAGCTGACCTCAGTTACTCCGAGCCCTTTTCCACTCAGCAGAACTTCTGGCCACCGGGTCCTCTATCTGCGGAGCCCTTCTATCATCCCAGATCCCCACAGGGTGGACTCCGTCTCATCCTCACAATCTCAGCTCAGGCCTTATTCATCACAGCATTCCTGGCACCAGGCCTGGCCCATGAGAAATTGGTCAGATTAAGAGCTAAATGTGTTTCCATGGTCACTTGTTTTCTTCAGGCCTCCTTTCTTTGTGCCAGCATCTTTGGGTTTTGGTTAAAGTTTTCAGCAGCTGCATGAAGTTCCATTTTTCTTACCAGGTAAGAGACATAGCTTCATGAAAACAAAGGCAGAACGCTTGTGACCAGAGAACTCCCAGTCCTCTCCCTGCATAGGAAAACTGGACTTCTCCGGAGGGCTCCAGCTCCTGGGCAAATCTCTAGGGCCACTTAATTGGGCTGTCCCCCACCTTTGTTTCTGGTTTTGAAGGGGCGGAAGTTGGGAATCCTTTCTAAGTCTCTACACATGGAGCCCTTCTTTGGTGGGAAAGTCTTGACATATACCAGGATTGTCATTGACCTTTCAGAGCCTTCAAGAATCCTGAGCTGCTTTGGCTTCTGTTCCTGGAAGAGAGGCCACTGAACTGCTCTGGAGCTGGAGTTCAAGTTCAAATATTCATCACTGTTACTAAGCCTTTACATAGCATGTGATTTCTTTCCGGCAGGCTCATGGTCACTTAGGTTTGCTTGTATGTAGATGGAGTGGTCTGCATCCTCATTCAGGTAACACCCCCAGCCTTTCATGCTGAGATTGGCCATTTTATTTGTAACTCACTGTACAATCCATTTGCTCTTCCAGTGTCCCTTAGAAGGATGCAGAGTGTTCTGTAGAAAGCCATAGAGACCTGGGTTTAGGGAAAATATTTGACCCAAAGTCCGCCAACTCACATGAGTATCTCCCCACAACTTGTACCGTGCTAGTCTCTGGGTATATAGCAAATGAAACCGTGCCTGAACAGATGTTACAAACACCCTCCCCTGAGAGACTTCAGGGCTGCTTTATTCATGCAAAACGGTGTGCTCTAATAAGCTCAGAGCTGAGAGGAACAAGTTTTCATTCCAGCTTTCTCAAAAACTCCGTTTGTGACTTTAGGCCTAATAATAATAACACTACCTAGGTAGTGAACACCTCTGTGCCAAGAAATATCATGATCATTGCCTGAGTTGTAATTCTCACAGTAGTCCTGCACGACAGCTGCTATTACTGCTTATTATGCAGATGGGCAACCTGAGGCTCAGATGGAGTTAAGTGGCTTAATTGGTAGCAATAGAGCCAGGATTTGAACCCAGGGCTGCCTGATCACCAAATAAAATTGTACTCAACATGATGCACTTAACTTTTCTGGCCTCATTTCTCTCACCTGTAAAAATGCATATTTCAGATGTTTGTAATATTTTACCTGTGGTTGAAAGAGTTACCAGCCCTTCCTTGATCACCCATGGTAAGACCCATGAGCCTCTGAATATAATTATAGAAAACATTTGGAGAGGGATGGAGAGAGACAAGATCATGCCTCCTTTGATAATGTCAAATTTTCAGTGCACGAAGCCATACATAGTGCAGTTTTCTAGCTTCCCTTTCACACATGGCGTTGAAGAAAGTAAATTAAGCAACTCAGCTAACACTGGGAATGCAGCAGAAGTCATCGAGTTCAGTGCTGGGAGACAGTTGCCATGATATTCCAACATGGACACCAGGATCACAGTCGATGACTATGCCCTCCCTTGAAGATGGTGGCTTGCCTCTCTTTCTGTAAGCACATGTCATGTCATAACAATATTAAACAAAAGTAATGTCCCCATCTTCTTCTACACTGCCTTTGAATTATTATTTTAGATCTGCCAAAATAAATTGCAAACTCATTAACAAGAAATGGGGGTGCCTGCATCCCTGCCTTCCTGAGTAGTCTATTCACCCAAAGACAAAAGGGTGACCAGCCTCCATCTGGGATATTCAAAGACACAGTCACCCTGCCATGCAGCCTGAGGCTGGCGAAGGTCCAATCCCCTTTTTAAGAAGCTTGTTGGATGAGCTTCATAAACATACAACCACAAAGGAAAGGCACAGCTGATGTGAGCGAGGCTGATAAGATGGGCATTTTGTCTGCTTCAAGGTTAGAATGCAACTTGTCTGTCAAAATGTGGTTATCTGACCTCCACAATGCTGCAGTCCAGCTAAATCCTGCAAATATTCATCCACCATTTACTATGGATAAAACAATAATGTGCTGTGGGGAATCCAATTACACACACACACACACACACAAAAGTGCACACACACATGCATGCACACACACTGCTCCTGCTGTCTCAGAGGTTCCATGCTGGCAAGGCAGAAGTGCAAACATTAGCAGGTAAGTCCACTAGCAGGAGGAATGTGATAAGTAGATCCAACAGGGTACAACACAGTATGATAGAAGCAAACAAGGTAGAAATGAGTTCTGACTCCCTTTCACTTATGAAACTGATTATGGAATAGTGTATGAAAGGCTTGCCTGAATGAATCTCATATTTTCCAAGTGTTTTCTATCCCAGTGATTGGAACTTTTATTCATTTATACCATTGTCCAAAAGGAAAATACAGGAGATTTTCCTAAGACCATCCTCTGTCTTATCCCTCATATCATATCCCCAAACATCACCAAGCCCTGCCCACTTTTACCTACTCGGTTTCTCTCCAGTTGCTCTGTTTTCTCCATATGCACTAGTGATACCTTGGCTACATGAAGACCACCAGCAGCAGCCGGGACAACCAGCACCCTGTGGAACTGCATAGGGTGCATAGAATACGTCCTCCCTTCAGTCGGCTTGGGTCAGCTTAGGTCATGGGCCACCTGGACTGACAGCAGTTTCCACAGAAATGCCTCAAGATGATAGAATAATCCAAATCTCTTTGCATGGGGCATGGTGTGGCTATCTGAGAAAATCCTGGCTTTTATAGGAAGGAGAAAGAAGAATGCTTCTTGAGGGGAAGAAACCAACAGGAATGTGCCTCAGGGAAATGTCACCAGAGGAGAGTGAGCTGTAATGAGTATTTTGGCAGATTGCATGTTTCTTGTGGTTCTTGTGTTCCTTGGCCCTGCACAGAGCTACCATTTACTCATTTGACAAATATTTGAGTAGTAGACTCCAGGGTTCAATAGTGAGCAAAAATGCACAGAATTTCTTCTCTAGTGGAGCTGAGAGTCTAACAGAAAGAGGTGATGTTAGTCACAGAATTATGTAACAAGGGAAAGTTCAGCAGACCCAGGGATGCTGCAAGAGCCTGGGAAGGTGGACTGACCCCAAGAGGGAGGCAGGAAAGGTTGCCCCCAGGAAGCAGCACTTGAGCTAAAATCAGGGAGAAAACTAGGCAAAGACACAGCATTCAGGAGGAGGTAGAAGCTGGCCCATGAGGATGGTGGTGTGGAGAGGTGAACCAATACCCAGGTCTTGGATTTATTGTTGAGCTGCTGAATTAACCAGTGCTGGCTCTCTCCCAACCTCTGCACTTCTTGTTTTGCAAGGTTTTTTTTTTTTTTTATTTAAAAGCTAGTATGAGTTGGGATCTGTTGCTTTTCTGAGACCCCATCCTGTGAGGTAGACAGGGGGCCTCACTGTACTCTGGGGGAGCTAAAGATGGAGAAGAGTTTTAGAGTGCCTGGAGAAGAGGCCCTTTAATAGATCATTTAAGAAGAGGGTGCTACCACTAGACTGCCCAGATTCACTTTCTGGCTTTGCGACCTTGGGCTCTCTGTGTCTGTTTTCCAACCTGAACAATGGAATAATGATAGTATCTGCCTCTGCCTGCAAGACCCTGTCCTATCAGACCAACTACCTTTTCACTAGAACTCTCTTCCTGCACTGTACCCCAACTGGACCCTCATTAACACTTAAAATGAGCATGTTTCCCTTTTCTAGATTTTGCTCAAGACATTTCCCTCATCAGAGTTAACTTTGGTCCATCTCCCTCTATTGGAATTCAACCCATTCTCCAGAAATCAGTTCAAATTTTATCACCAGAATGCCTCTCTCAATTACACCAAGCCTCTTTTATACTTTGTGCCATTTCTGCCATGATTTCTTATGTTTTCCTTTTTCACTACATATTGGTACAGGTACATATGATCTCCACTTCCACTCAAATGTGAGGTTACTGCGGGCAGTCCCTATGGGTATAGTCATATCCCAAGAGTCCTGGGCAGAGGGTCCCCCTCTTGCACCCAGGTTGGAGTGCAGTGGTGCAACCAGAGCTTACTGCAGCCTTGACCTCCTGGGTTCAAATGATCCTCTCACCTTAGCCTTTCCAGTAGCTGGTATGAAAAGGCGAGCACCACCATGCTTGGCTAATTTTCATATTTTTCATAGAGATAGGGTTCCACCATGTTGCCTTGCTTGGTCTCAAAGTTCTGAGCTCAAGCAATCCACCTGCCTCAGCCTCTCAACATCCTGGAATGACAGCATGAGCTACCACACCTGGCCAAATGCCGAATACTTTAGTCATATATGCCTGACACTTCAGGGCATGCAGAACTGCCTCGCTTACTTTTCTTTTGACTCAGTTTATAAATTTTCTTAATTTAAATTTTAATTTCAACATGTGTACATCTTTGAAATAAATAAAATAATCTCTTTGAATGTTTGGCATAATGTGGAAGAAATTGACAAATGGATATCTTTACTTCATTTTCCATCTCAAAATGTGGTAGAAATATGCTCCCCTAAAGTGATCCCAATTATTACATAGCCATCTTGCTGTGGTTAATGTAGAATCTTTTTGCAATATCACATGCATGACAGGGCACATCCAAGAAACATTTAAGTGAAGATAATACTAGATTCTTGAAAGTATCTAGACACTTAAGAGCAGGCAGTGATGATGTTAATTAACAGTAACAATGTCGAGGGACTGGCTTTTGCCCTTCCCTAATAAACATAAAGAGCATAGAAACTCAGCAAATTTGCTCTATTGTCTTCATTATTTGGTTGTTGAATCAGTAAATGCTTTCCACAAGGGTCATCTTGTTAGTCATCTTGTCATTTTGCTGTGTCCCTTCTTCATCCTTGCACTTTTTCCTTTCTCCCATTTTGGAATGTATTGAGAGGAGTGTTATGTTGATGGAATGCCGTGTCCTGACTTGTCATTTGATTAGAACTTCCCTCAATTTTTAACATGCTTCTTGATATGGTTTGGATTTGTGCACCCCCCCATCCCCAATCTGATGTGGAATTGTAATTGCCAGTGTTGGAGGAGAGGCTTAGTAGAAGGTGTTTGCATCATGGAGGTGGTTTCTAATGGTTTAGCCTCATCCCCCTAGTGCTGTCTGATGATAAAGTTATCCTAAGATCTGCTTGTTTAAAAAGTTAAAAAGCACCTCCCCTGACTCGTTTCAGCCATGTGAATATGTGCTTGCTTCCTTTTCACCTTCTGCCATGATTGTAAGTTTCCTGAGGCTTCCCTATAAGCATAAGTCTGTACAGCCCACAGAACTGTGAGCCAATTCAATCTCTTTTCTTTTTCAATTACCCATTCTCAGGTATGTCTTTATAGCATGTGAGACAGACTAATACACTCATCCTCAGAAAGCATTCAATTTAGCTGTGTCTAAAGGTATGCCAGCTGTCCTGGGACATTATCTTAGCCAATCATTCTTCCTCCTCAGCAAGATCTATTTGCCTATCACAGCTTGACCACAGTTCCTACCATACCTGTCTGTAACAAGTAGCCTATAACATCTGGAGGGATTTCATTGAAATCACAGAGGTTCCTTGGTTCTTTACTTTATTAGCAGGCATTAGGAAAGCACATCAACTTTCTTATTTAATAAAGTGCCTGTTGCTTTGAAAAATTGCCCAAAAGAAGAAAAGAGAGGGTTACTTAAAGGTATCACTATAGGCATGGCATGCTGGTTCACACCTGTAATCCCAGTACTTTGGGAGGCTGAGGAGAGAGGATCACTTGAGTCCAGAAGTTCAATACCAGCCTAGGTGACATGGCAAAACCCCATCTCTACAAAACGAAACAAAACAAATAAAACAAAACAAAATAGAAAAAATATTCAGGCATGGTGGCATGTGCTTGTATTCCCAGTTACTCAGGAGACTGAGGTGGGAGAATCACTGTGCCCAGGGAGGTTGAGGCTGCAGTGAGCCATGATCATGCTACTCCACTCCAATCTGAGTGACAGAGCAAGACCCTGTCTCAAAAAAAAAAAAAAAAAAAAAAAAAAAAGCTATCACTATACTATCTGTAACTGTTCTTAATTAGGATAACTAGGTTTTTTCCAACAGTGGAAACTCCAAACAGACTAAATTGTTGTACATCAAGGTGAATTGTCATAGTTAATTCCTTTGCTTGCAACTGCCCAATAAATGGATGAGGACTCACTTCACCAATAAATAAGAAAGGTGAACAGCACATGGGGCCTGTAGATGCCTTTTGCAGGGCCCTCTTTTAATCCTCCTAAATTTGCAATTTGCATATTTCTGTAGATGGGCACATCATAGACGCTGTCATCCTAGATCAGAGCCTGGAGAGAGAGATACAAGTGTCATGCTTAAATCTGCAGAGTAGGAACAAGCCCAGAGAAATCAAGATGATTAAGCAGAGAGTTTCCATACTGGAGATAAACCAGCTGTGTAAAAAGTCATGCTTATTGAACAAAAATGCATTGCACCGCCGAAATAACTGCTTTAACTAAGAAGTAAAGAACTGACACCCCAACAGAGCACAGAGAGCCACATAGACAGGAGCTGCATTTCAAACAAGGTCATTGCTGTTTTCCCCACTCTGAGTTAAGTGTCTCTGCTTCACCCTTCCTTACCAAAGTTCTGCTTGATCATCCTTTTGTTTTGTTTTGTTTTGTTTTGTTTTTTGTACTTCCCTTCTTTGAGAAAATATAAACCAAAATTTTACATAAAACAGGAATTCAGCTTTTGACAATGTTAGCCATTGAAACAACAACAAAAAAGGTTTCTATTATTTCTCATCTCTGTGCTATCCAGTGCAGTAGCCAATAGCCACAGGTGACTATTAAAATTAAAATTAATTCAAATAAAACAAAATTTAACATTAGCTGGTCACTTGTACTAGCCACATCTCAATTACTCAATAGCCACATGTGGCTAGTGGCTACTGAACTAGGCAGCATGAATGTAGAACATTTTCATCATCATAGTTTTCTAGGTCATGGAAAAATTACAGAACTCAATTTCCAGTGTGCACATTTATTTGCATACCTAGGAGCTTTCTGACCCTGTGTTGAGCTGCCTAACCAGCTTCCTGATTGACCTCCTGATATTTCTGCAAATGTGGACTAAGAGGCCAGGATTCCTCAGGGCCCAGGTGACTCAGGTTATTCAGAAACTATGTTTGGACTAGCAGGCCTCTACTTGATTTGGGATGCGAAATGGGACTTCTCTTCCTAATTGCTAAAATAGATTTCAAGGTTCACCTCTCATCGCGGTAAGAGTCTCATTTCCTGAGACTCTTATTTCTTTCCATGACTTATGGTATATTCTGGAGAGAGTGGATTCACACAGAAGAGCTGGCTCTGTGCTGGTTTTCCAGGGGTCAGCCCCCTTGTCAGTGACAAGCCTGCCTATCTACATGATGTACATTATGTCCCACTACTGGTAATAGAAGCTCAGCAATTGATTGACTGTTAGGTTATTTTCAAAGCTCAGTATTCACAATAATCTAACAGACACCCACACAACCACAAGGACAGACAAGGCTCTCATAACCTGAAAAAGACAAGGTGCACATTTCTTCTTTCCATCCCAGCAACAAATTGCCAAACCAGCCAGCACTTAAGTTGGGGTAAAAATTAATTAAAAGAAGAACCTACCAATGTAGATAAAAGAACAGAAAAGCTATTGCAGCTGTCTTCTCCATAACAGAGGCCTGTGATTTGAATTTTAATGTTTCAATCTACTTTCTGCTCTTGTGTTTATTTTATTATTTATTTTTTGTCACTATCTCTTATTTGTAGATACAAATTTTTCATATTTAAAAGCTATTTTAAATATAATCTTTAAAAGGAGAAACATTATTTTTTTTAATTGCACAAAATACTGAAGGTGAGATCCACTGATTGGAAAGCAAAATGGGACAATATCTCTGGAAGCAATTTTATCCAGATAAATCAATAGCTTTAAAACAATTCAAAACCTTGGACCTAATACCTCTACTTCTAGGAAGCTAGCCTATGAAGGTTTCTGCTGAAGGATGTTTATCACAGTATTATTAATAATGCGAAAAAGCCAAAGAAGAGACCTGAAATGTTTCAAAGATGAAAATGGTTTGATAAACAACATTTTTTTTAGATGGGGTCTCACTCTGTTGCTCAGACTGGGGTGCAGTGCCACGATCTGAGCTCACTGCAAAATCCTTCTCCCAGGTTCAAGCAATGCTCCTGTTTCAGCCTCCCAAGTAGCTGGGAATACAGGCACACCAACCACGCCTCACTATTTTTTTGTATTTTAGTAGAGATGGGGTTTCACCGTGTTGCCTAGGCTGGACTCAAACTCCTGAGCTCAGGCAATCCATCTGTCTCGAACTCCCAAAATGCTGGGATTACAGGCATGAGCCACCACACCTGGCAATAAGCAACATATTTAAACACTAGAATATTATGCAAACATCCCAGGCATGCTTTGGAAAAACTATTAATCCCACAAAAGATGCTTATGTTATTATACAGACTAACAGACCAAGATTCTCCAGGACACTTACTATGTTACATGTCTGAAGTACAATATAATGCCATATATAAAATGTAACCTCAACTCAGGCCCCAGTCTTTTCATCTGGAAAATTCTATTAATTATACTGCCCTTCCCCTTTTTAGGTTTTCTGTAGGAGTTAAATACAATACACTTTGTCAATTGCTTAACACCATGCTCAACACTGGTCGGGAAGATATAAATGTCAGCTATTGTACTATGTGCCAAAAAAACAAACAAAAAACCACACAGACAGACACACACACACAAAGACACACACGGAGGGAGAGGAAGTAAAGATTAAGAAGCAGCACATAATGTTACGGTAGGCAATGGGACCACTAGTGATTTTCATATCCTTTTTTATTTTCTTCTTTATACTGCTTACATTTTTCAGTGTATACAATGAGCATGTATTACTTCTGTAACCAGAAGAATGTGGTATAAACCTCACCTTAATATAATAAAACAAAATTACTGGCCAGGAACGGTGTCTCGTGCCTGTAATCCTAGCACTTTGGAAGGCTGAGACTAGTAAATCTCTTGAGCTCAAGAATTTGAAACCAGCCTGAGCAATACAGTGAGACCTTGTCTCTGCAAAAAATACAAAAATTAGCCAACCATAGTGGTATACAACTGTAGTCCTAAGTTACTTAGGAGGCTAAGGTGGGAGGGTGGCTTGAGACCAGGAGGTGGCTGCAGTGAGCTGTGATTGCACCACTGCACTCCAGCCTGGGTGAAAAAGCCAGACCCAGTCTTGTACAAAAATAAAAAAAATAAAAAAAATAAAAAGTTATTACTTAGATCCCACATGCTGTCTTGGAGCCATTGTAGTGTTGCGGGATTCAAGAGACTGGAGAGACCAATGGATGAGACAGGAGGATTTTATTAAAGTGGCCACTGGCCTAGTAGATTCGCATCCAAAAGGCTGAGCCTGGAACAAAGATGGGGCCTGGTTTTTAAGCATGCAGCTGCGTGAAACTCACAGGGTGGGCTTAGCAAGCTTACAGAAGCAGAACAAAGGCAGTTAATCAAACAGTGACAGGTGTATGACTCAAACATGCCTGGTGACCTCTGCTGGGCCGTCCAGCAGGCCCTCAGCAGATGGTTACTATTTTAGGCTTGCTCAGACATGTCTTGTGACCTTCTCAGTGTTGCACAGATGGAAAACAGGAACTTACAAAATCCTTACAAACTTACAGAAATAGTTACAAAAATAGTTATGAGAGCAGAGCAAAGAGATACTGGCCTAGGAAAGAATCTCAAAGGGGGAAGCTGATAAGAAGAACTTGTTCTTCTCATCCCTGTTCCTGGAGTCCATTCCTTCTGGGCTCTGCTTGGCCTTGTATATAAAGTTAGCTTAGTCCTAGCAGGGCCTTGATGTGAGTCAGCCTGGTACAGGCAGGAATTTAGGTTTTTCTCCTTTTAATTTCGGCTTTAGTAGGCTAGGGTTCTGGTTGCCACTGCTGAGAAAGTAAAGTGTGTTCAGGCTGTCCATGGTTCTGGGCTCCCCCGGGTCTCTGAGGAGGGCTGTCCCCTCTATCACAGAGAATATCAGGACACTAGCCTGTTCCTAGTTATACTTACACACTCCTCTCATGTTGTCTATGGAGTGGAGGCTGCAGGGAGGGTGACATCCTAGTTAGTCCCAAGTGCCAGACTGCCTGAAGCTCACTGTTAACAAGTCCTGCCTTGGAGAAGAAGGAAGGTTGTCTCTGTGAATCTCCCACCTGGGCCAAAGGGAGGCCACTCTCTCCTCTGCCTCTCCCCAACCTTGGTCTTCTGCACTCCTAGTGAACCTCTCTCCCCCTGCCTACAGGCCTGGAATCTCAAGACCATGATGACCTAGTCACCCCTGAATCCAGGGCTTTCCCTTTACAAAGGGGAAACTGAGACCTGGAGCAGGGCCGATGTTCAGCCAGCCGATAAGGGAATAGCCGAATTGGTGGTAAAATACTGAAATAGTTCCAGTGTGGATGGAAAGGGGCCACTGCCCTGAACATCTCTACCCCGCCGCCTCAGCCCATCCTCCAGGACCCTGGGTCAGCACCAGGAGCATCAAAGTGGCCAGGATTGGCTGAAGCCCATGCTAATGGCTCTGCCAGCCCTTCTCCCCACCAGAGAAGGCAGGGGAAATCAGGCTATCTGGGGGTAGCACTGTGACCGTGTATGCAGTAGTCAAACCTTGTGTGCCACCATCCCTGACTTTGTTGATAAGGGCATCAGGCTACATCCCTCTGGTACTCAGTGGTAAGCATCTAAAATCTTAAAGAAAAAATTTAAAAAGCTTTCAAAATATAGGACTTAACATATGAGGCTGCACAAACATCTCTTTAGCAGTTGTCCAACTGGTGCTTCTGGTTCTGCCTCCCCAGAGAGTGGATGACCTGGGCCACCCTCCACCACTGCCCTGTAAGGCCATGGGACACACAGCCCATCAGTTCTCTTCACGTGGTCATCCCCCTTTAGATGGGAGAAAATATACCTGCCTCATTTTTGTACCTTCTGTTTGGACATTCCATGACAGAGCTTCACTAAATGTGTGATGAAGAACTGAATGAATGAATGAATGAATGAATATGAGAGCAAATGAATGAATGGTTTAGATCCTGGGCTGGAAGTCTGTATGAGGATGGTGGGTAGAGGAGAGTGTGTTTTTCTTGCCTTTAAGTCATTACTTGTCATTTTGGGGCAGGAGCACAGGCTTTGAATGCAGACTGACTGGACTTTAATCCTGGCTTTACTAGTTGTGATTGTGTGACCTTGTACATGTTACTTAAACCCTCTGTGCCTGTTTCTTTATCTGTAAAATGGAGATAATAAGATGACAAAGGACTGTGGTAAGAATTAAATGCTTAAAAAAATCACAGTTTGTATTAAGTCCTCAATAGATTGGGTTTAGCATCATGAGTGCATGTGTTTCTGGAACAATGCTCATCTTGGGCTGGATGGTGCCTACACAGAGAAAGACTCTGGCCTCTTCTCACTCACATGTATCTGTCTTATGCCTGGTTCCCATTCCCAGAGCCTTGGAAGATCCATATTGCTGAAACGGTGAAGGGTGATGGGCACCTCAGGACAACTAAGTTGCTCCCCAAACATCTTCCCCCGCTCAAACTCTCCTGTGGTCTTTAGCATTTAACAGGAATCTCTGGACACTCCAAGGGGTGATCCTCTCATGGAAGCCCAGTGGGGAGGAGGCTGCAGGAAAGGTCAGGCACTGTGCACTTCCCTGACAGCTGCAAATGGTTCTGTTTCCAAGCCCACGGGTCACTACAAATAAGGCAAGTTATATGACATAATAATGTGATTCTTTGGTGCCTCGGTCCACACTGGCACTTTAATACTCCTAGAGTGGATTGCATGGTGGTCTATCAAAAGATATGTCTACCTGGAACATGTGAATGTACCTTTATTTGGAAAACAATCTGCAGATGTAATTAAATCCAGCACCTCGAGATGAGGGCATCTCATCTTGGATTAGGATGGGCCCTAAATCCAATGACAAGTATCCTTATAAGAAAGCGGCAGGTAGGGCACAGTGGCTCACACATATAATCCCACCACCACCACTGAGGAAGGTCAAGTTGGGAGAATCGCTTGAACTCCAGGCGTTCAAGACCTGCTGGGCAACATGGTGAGACACTGTCTCTCCAAAATGTATATAAAATATAATAGCCAGACATGATGGCACCCGCCTGCAGTCCCAGCTACCAGCTACTCAGGAGGCTGAGGTGAGACGATAGCTTGAAACTGGGAGGTTGAGGCTTCAGTGAGCTGTGATCATGACACTGCCCTCCAGTCTGGGTGGCCCCTGGCCCCTCCACAACCTGCGCTAGAAGAGCTGGGCCCTGGCTCTGGGCATCATGCAGCCTCTGAGGTGGGGCTGAGTGCCAGTTCCTGCCCTCCTGCAGCTGGGGACCAACACCCTGACTTAGGCGCTGTGGAGGCTTCTGGCCCAAGGGTCCGCACTGCTGGTGGCACTGGCAGGGTCGGAGTTTGCCACAGCTGCTGCTGCGCGCCTTGTGCAGGTTACCACTGCAGCTGAACCTACATCAGAGGCAGGCAGGGCTGGTCCCAGACAGCCTGGGGGTCTCTGAGTGCAGGGCCCTTTCACCCTAGAGTCAGCTCTTTCTTGCCGGAGCCCACAGCGGGGTGTGCAAGCGCTGGGTACAGGGCAGCAGCCAGGAAATGGCTGAGCGGCCGGCTCCCGCCCTCCTGCAGCTGGGGTCTGACCAGCTGAATTAGCCGGTGGGCGGCGTCTGGCCCTGGGATCCGCCTGGCTGGTGTAGGAGCCTGGTCTGGGGTTGCCTCCAAGGCTGCTGCGCGCGCCATGTGCAGCTGGCTGCTGCAGCTGGGCCCATCACCTGACAAGGAGTTTCCCAGACAGCCTCAGGGTCATGGAGTGGACCACTGTCCCAGCCTAGTGTACGCTCTTCTTTTGCCTGCGCCCAGAGTTCCGGGTCGCGGGCACCGGGAACTGTGCAGCCAAGGTGCTTCGGCCGAGGGCAAAGGTTGCTGCCCTGCTGCAGCTGCTGGGCTGAGTGCCTGAATTAGGCGCTGAGGCGGCGTTGTCCCCGGTGTCCTGGCTCTTAGTGGTGCAGGCAAAGTGCCCGGTTGCTCTGCTGCTGCGGCGCCCTTGTACAGGTGGCAGCTGTAGCTGAGTTCTCAGTAGACGCCGGCAGGGTTGGTCCTAGAAAGCGTGAGGATCGCCGAGTGCACCGCCCTCCCAGCCTAGGGTCCACTCTTCCTTGGCCCGAGCCCAGAGCCCGGGGTTTCAGGCGCTGGGCCCTGTGCAGCTGCCCAGAATATGCTGAGCGGCAGGTTCCCGCCCTGGCAAGGGATCCAGCCGTGGTATCCTCACTGCTGTTGGCTGGCAAGGTCAGCGGGGTTTCCACCGCTGCTGCCGGGAGCCACCTGGCGGTGGTAGCTGCAGCTGAGCGCGTGGCAGAGACCGGCAGGGCTGGTCCCAGACACCCTGAGGGTCTCTGGGTGCATCGCCCTACCACCCTAGGGTCTGCTCTTCCTTAGCCTGCTCCCAGGACGCGGTGTACGAGCGCTAGACTCTGAGCAGCCTCCAGGATGGGGCTGAGCGGCGGAGTCCTGCCCTGCTGCAGCTACAGTCTGAATTAGGCGCCACCGCAGTATCTGACCCTGGGGTACGTGCTACTGGTGGCATGGACAGAGATGAGGGCTGCCACAGCTGCTATGGGGCTGAGCAGCCGATTTCCGCCCCGCTGCAGCGGGCGACCGCTGCAATCCCCAGCGCTATGGGACCGACCACCTGACTTAGATGCCTTGGAGGCATCCGGCCCTAGGGTCTTTGCTGCTGGTGTCTGAGGGCAGGGTCAGGGCTGCCACTACTACTGCCGTGCGCCATGCGCAGGTGCCAGCTGCAGCTGAGTCCCAGGCAGATGCTGTCAGGGCTGGTATGAGGTTGCCTAAGGGTGGCTGAGTGCACCGCCCTTCCACCCCAGGGTCCGTTATTCCTAGGCCGGCGCCCAAATTGCAGGGTCGTGGGCGTTGGACACTGTGCAGCCATGAGGATCTGGTTGGGTGCAGATTCCCGCCCTCCTGCAGCTGAGAGGCCAACCTCCTAACAGGCGCCGCAGTGACCTCTGGCTCGGCGGTCCGCGCTGCTGCTGGAGCTGGCAGAGACCAGAGCTGCCACCGCTGCTGCTTCCAGGAGTGTGCAGCTGGCAGCTGCAGCTGAACCCGCAGCGGAGGCTGGAAGGGCTTATTCCAGAAGCCTTGAGGGTCCCCGAATGCACCGCCCTCCCACCCTAAGGTCCAGTCTTCCTTGCCCGCTCCCAGAGAGTGGGATTGCAGGCGCTGAGCACAGTGCAGGCGCTGGGATGGGCTAAGCTGCAAGTTTCCGCCCTCTGGCTGCTGGGGGGCCGACCGCCTGAGTTATGCGCCGCGGCGGCTTTTGGTCATGGGGTCCGCACTGCCGGTGGCTTGCACAGGGTCGGGGGCTGCCACAGCTGCTATAGTTCACCATGTGCACGTGGCAGTCGCCCCTGAGCCCACCGCTGAGGCTGCAGGGCTGGTCCGGTCTCAGACGGCCTGAGGGTCATTTGCCCGCGCCCAGATCCGGGTGGCTGGCGCTGGGCACTGTGCAGCCTCCAGGAATCCGCTGAAGGGCAGGTTCCCGCTCTCCTACAGCTGTGGGCCGACTGCCTGATTTTGGCCACTAGGTGGAGTCTGTCTCTAGGGTTTCGAGGCCGCTGGTGTCGGCGGGCGGAGTCCCGGTTTGCCACCGCTGCGCGCCATGAGCAGGTAGCAGTTGCAGCGTAGCTTTAGACAGAGGCTGGCAGGGCTGGCCCCAGACGGCCTGAGGGTCAGGGAGTGCAGGGTCCTCCCACCCTAGGTCCGCTCTTCCTTTGCCCTTACCAAGAGCGGGTTGTGCGGGCGCTGGGCTCTGTGCAGCCGCCGAGGTGGGGCTGAGCAGCGGATTTCCGCCCTGCTGCAGCTGGAGGACGATTACCTGAATTAGCCGCTGAGGCGGCATCTGGCCCTGGGTTACTGCTGCTGGTGACGCGGGCAGGGTCAGGGTTGGTTGCAGTTGGCAGCTGCTGCTAAACCCATTGCGAGCCTCAGGGTCACCAAGTTCACCGTCCTTTCATCGTAGTGTCTGATCTTTGGCCCGCGCCCAGAGTGAGGACTCGCCTGCGCTGGGGATTGCATAGCTTCTGGGGGGCGGTCAGCGCCCGTTTCACGTCCTCCTGCAGCTGCGTGGCCTAAGGTCTTAGGCGCCGCGGCGCTATCTGGCCCTGCTGTCCGTGCTGCTGGTGGCGGGGACAGGGTCGAGGGTTGCCGCTGCTGCTCCCGTGCACCATCGGCAGGTGGCAGTTGCAGCTGAGCCCACAACTGAGGCTGTTGGGGCTGCTCCCAGGTTGTCAGAGGGTCGCCGAGTTCACCGACATGCCACCCTAGGTTACGCTCTTTCTTGGCCCGCACCCAGAGCGCCGGGTTACGAGTCCTGGGCCCTGTGCAGCCACGGGGATGGTGCTGAGTGCAGGTTCCCGTCTTCCTGAGATGCGGGGCGACCACTGGAATTAGCCTCTGTGGTGGTATCTGACCCTAGGGTCCGAGCTGCTGATGGCGTGGGCGGGGTCGAAGTCGCCTCTGTTGCTGTGGCGTGCCATTTGCACTGTCCTCCGGAACAGGCTGGTCTGTGCTGTGTATGGTCAGTGGAGTCTTCTCTGGGCATGCTTCACTGATATCTGCTGACATGGCTCATCTTCTCTTTGATTTTGCATGTATTGGCACTCAGTGATGAAGTTTCTGGTCACGCACTGCCATTTTCCTCTAGCCTCCAAGACCTCACATTCTGAGGCCAGCATGTCCCACCAGGGGCCTCCACTGGTCCTGTCAAACCAGGTGTGAGTCCCCCTTCCACCAAGCTTGGAGAGACTGGCTTTTCAGACAGCACTCACAGGCTGAGAGTAAGGGAACTGATCTCTCAGGCACTTCCCCCTGTCCTGCCACTCTGTCATTCCTGGGACACCCTATGTGCACTAGAGAAGTAAGACACCAGCCTGCATATTTTCTCATCTTTCTTTAACTGTCTATTTTTTCCTATCCATCTGTTTGAGCGAGTCCCAGGAGGATGTTGGGGCTGAATACCTGATCAGAGACACAGGCAGAGCCATAGTCACATCTCCTGGGAACTTTCTTCTTCCTGTGTAGTTAAAAGCTCTTCTCTTCCTCTTCTTCACAGAAATTCCCCTTACACTAAACCTTTGACTAAAGCCATCCCCTCAGTTTGATAAAATTTTTAGACAGGATTATTTCTGATTCTTGGCTCCTCACCTCTTTTTTTCTTTAGCATATTTTAGAAATGTTATCATTGTAAATTCTTTCTCTGCCTCTTTGATAAATCTTTCTAAGAGCCCACGTGCCAGTTTTACACTTCAGAAATGTCCATTTCAAGGACCTCAGAGCCATCCCTTTGAAATGTAATTCTCAAAAAAGATAACACCATTATCTCCCAGACTCCATGAGAGAGTAAGAGCCAAATTTTGGTGGGCATATTCCTCTAATTTGTAAAATCACCTTCTGTCATAAAGATGAAAGATAGTTTAATATTCCTTTGGAAAAAGACAACTATCAAAGACAAGTGGTCTATGATCTCCCCCTCATCCTGGCTCTTAAAATCTCTACTGCTGTTTGTTTCAGCGGAGCTGAGTTCAGACTAAGTTCTGGCCTCTTTGCCCTTTTGCAATAGTCTTCAATAACAGCTTTTTTATGTGTTTAACTTTGTCTGGTGCAACTGTTTTCTTTGACACTTTCCACCCTAACTAGAACTTCCATTAAAGTCATAATAGGATTCAAGGCAGCCAAACTTGACTCACATACGTAAAAAAACTTGTTAGGATTTAGAAACCCATATTCTCTTCAATAAATTGTTTCTTCAGACTGTTGCCTTATTAAAAGTTTCTAGTTCTTATTTTGGCATTGAAAAGGAGAATACCAATTTTTAAATAAGTCTCTGCTCACTTTTAATTTCTGCTATCACAATTTTATTGCTTTCCACGGCTGAACAATGAGAAGACCAGAACACAATTTTAAGTTAAATTTTATTTAATTTTTACCATTACAATTTTATTGCTTTCTCTGACTGAAAAGAGAAAACTCAAACAAAGTAGTCTAGTCTACGAAGTGGACTAGAACAAAGAATCATGTCTCATTAATACATTTCAGAAAGTTACCTCCATTTAACATCAATGGTGTCATTTAATATTCTTAACTTTCCTATCAAGTAGATGCTATTATTACCTCTATTTTATAGGATATTAAGTCTTATATATTATACATAACCAGCTGAAGGTCATGTAGCATGTAGATATGATAGGCATACAAAGAAGCAATGACATTAGAAGCAGAGGAGGGAGAAGGATTAAAAGGCTATACCTAGGTCGGTTAAGAGAAAAAGAAAAACTAGGAGGAGACAAATTCTTGTTAGAAAAAAATAATGATCGAGGCAGAGCAAGACAGTGGTGCAGACCTCTCCAGCTATCATACCCCTATAGAAACATCAATATGAACAACTGTCCACATGTGAAATTACCATTACAAGAGCCAACAGAACCTCAATACATGAACAAGGTTATGAAGCACCTTTGGCCTGTGAAGATGGGTAAAACCATGGCTTACAGAGTGAGAGAACCAATACTCTGTGACTGTGATACTCCTCCCTCAGGCCATTATGGTACCATCTGCAGAAACTCCCATAGGGCTTATAGTTTTTACACTGAAAAAAGTCAGCAGGAGGTTGATATTTGTTTTTTCCACTATACTGAGTGCCTTCACAGTAGACTCACTCCTGTATCAGCCCACAAGTGGCACCATGAGTGCCAAAAGGGATGAACCACCTGAGGCATGTTAAGGACATAAGAGGAGGTGGGGCCAGCAACAGCCACCATGTGAAACATAATACACAGACTACACGCTTGACGGCCTGACTTGTTCTCCCCCATAGCCAGGGGCTCCCTGTGGATCACCCATGGGCCCATCCAGCAAATGTTGCAGCAGTGGTGGAGCCATTGGAAGACTTATGTCTAACGTGGGATTTGGACTCTCTCTAATGCTAAAATGGAATACGATGGTAAGTCCGCTCAACATTTCCTAATAAGCCCACTTAAAAGTAGTCACAAACAAACCCAGACTGAGAAGACACAAATAAATATCTAATTCATCAATGTGTAGACAGAGATGTATATCTACATATAATAATGATAGCTTAGGAAAAGTTGCCTCTCCAAATGGACAAAACAAGGTGTCAGCAACTGAACTTAAAGACATACAGATGAATGATCTGGCAGGCAAAGAATTCAAAATGGCTGTTTTAAGAAGAGCCTGAACACTGAGAAAGCAGAGACATAATTCAGAAATTTACCAGAGAAATTCAACAAAGAAATCAAAATAATGGGAAAAATCACATGTAAATCCTGAAGCAGGAAAGTTCAATTAACACATTGAAAATCCAACGGAAGGCATCAACAGAAGAACTGATCAAGCAGAAGAAAGAAACAGTGAGCTCAAAGACAGGCTCTTTGAAAATACATGGTCAGAGTAGAATGAAAAAAAGAATGAAAAGAAACAAAGAAAGTTTATGAGATTTGTGGGACACCAACAAAAGAGCAAATCTACATATCATTGGTGTTAAAGGGGAACTAAGAATGAAAAGGAGATAGTTTATTCAAAGAAATAACAGAAAACTTTTTAAACCTGGAGAAAGATTAAAATGTTTAGGATGGTCAAAGTGCCCAATCATATTTAATCTGAATAAGACAACCAAAGACATTTTATAATTAAACTCTCAAATGTCAAACACAAAGAGAAGACCCTGAAAGGACTAAGAAAAGGGAAACAACACATAAGAGAATTCCAATATGCCTGGCAGCAGACTTCTCAGCAGAAGCACTACAGGCCAGGAGAGAGTAGGATAATAGATTCAAGTGCTGAATTAAAAAAACTGTCAACCATGAATAAAGTATCCAGCATAGCTATCATTTAGAAATAAAGGAGAGATTGAAACATTCTCAGACAAACAAAAAGCAAAGGAATTCATTGTAATCAAACCAGCCTTACAAGAAACGCTAAATATTGTTCTCCAAACTGAAAGAAAATGGCAGCAATATGTAACACAAAAAATCTGAAGGTATAAACCCACAGGTAGAAGTGAGGATTCAGACAAATTTGGAATGCTCTAATATGGTAATAATTGGATGTAAAGCACTTATATATCCTTAGTAGGAAGGTTAAAAAACAATACAAATAAAATAATAATAATTACAATAATTTGTTAAGGAATAGCAATATACAAAGATGTAAATTAAGACATCAAAAATGCAAAATGTGAGGGAGTGATGGAGTTAAAGAGTAGAGTGGTTTCTTTTCCCCTCTTTTTGAATCAAAATTAAGTTGCTATCTCTTTAAAATAACTTATTGTAACCACAAAATGTTCTTTGCATGCCTTGTGGTAACCACAAAGCAAAAACTTTTAAAAGATACTCTAAAAATTAAAAAAAAAAAAACCGAAACACACTGATAGAGTAAAGCACTTAATCACAAAGGAAGATAGAGAAATCAATCAATCAAAGTACAAATTAAAAAAAACATGAAAACAAGTAATAATATGGCAGAACCAAGTCCTTGCCTATCAACAATTATCTTGTATGTAAATGGATTATCCCATTTAAGACATATAATGGCTACACTGATTAAAAACAAGACCTAACTATAAACTTTCTACAGGAAATTCACTTCATCTGTAAATACACACATAAATTGAAAGTGATCAGATGGAAAAATATATTTTATAAATATGGAAACCGAAAGAAAGCCAGTATAGATATATTTATATCAGATAACATATACTTCAAACAAAATCCTATAAAAACAGACAAATACAGCCATTATATAATGATAAAGGGATCAATATCACAAGATAATATAATTGTAAATATATATGCCCTCTATATTGAAGGACCTAAATATATAAAACAAATGTTAATAGATCTAACAGGAGAAACAGCAAGCAATAAAATAATAGTAACATTCTACTTTCAGCAATAAACAGATTATCAAGACATAAAATCAACAAAGAAACATCATATTTAAAGTGAACTCTAGACCAAATAACTTAGCAGTCATTTACAGAACATGTTATCCAACAATTGCATAATTCACAGTCTTCTCTACTGCGCATGGAACATTTTCCATGATAGATCATATACTAGGCACAAAATGAGCCTTAGCAAATTCAAAAAAAAATCAAAATTATATCACATCTTTTCTGACAATATAGAATAAAACTAGAAATAAACAACAAGAACTTCAGAAATTGTGCAAATACATACAAATTAAACAACGTGCCCCTAAACAAACAATGGGTTAAAAAATAAATTTTGTTTCATTTTAAAAATTCTTAAGACAAATGAAAATGAAATCAGAACATATAAAAACTTACGAAATACAGCAGAAAAAGTCCTCAGAGGGAAGTTTGTAGAAATAAATTTCTATATGAAAGAAAGAAAACTCTCATTAATAATTTAAGAATGCATTTCAAGGAATTATAGAAACGTGAACAAACTTAGCCCCAAATTGGTAAAAGAATATAGATAATGAAGACCAGAGCACAAATAAACAAAATGGAGACAAAAATATGAAAGATCAATGAAATAAAAAGTTATTTTTTGAAAAGATAAACGCAATTGATATATCTTTAGTCAGATTAAGAAAAAAGAGAGAAGATTCACATAAATAAAATGAGAGATGAAAAAAGACATTAAAATGGTTACTACAGAAATACAAAGAATCATGAGAAAGTACTAAAATTATATGCCAATAAATTAGAAAACCTAGAAGAAATAAATACGTTTCTGAACACATATAACCTATCAAAATTGAAGAATTAAGAAATACAAAATGCGAACAGACCAATAACAAATAAAGAGATTGAAGCATTGTCTCTCAATACAAGAAAATCTGGAGGGCTGGCACAGTGTCTCACACATGTCATCTCACACTTTGGAGGCCAAGGCAGGAGGATTACTTGAAGCCAGAATTTCCAGATTAGCCTGGGGAACATAGTGAGACCCAGTCTTTACAAAAATAAAAATAAAAATTATCCAGGTTTAGTGGTGTGCACTTGCAGTCCTAACAACTTGGGAGGCTGAGGCAGGAGGATCACTTAAGACCAGGAATTTGAGGCTGCAGTGAGCTATGATTGCACCACTGTACTCCAGCCTGAGTGACAAAGAAAGACCATGTCTCTAAACCAAAAATATTTAAGAAGAAGAAGAAAAAGAAAGAAAGAAAGAGGAAGAAAAGAGAGACAGAGGGAGGGAGGGAGGGAGGAAGGAAGGAAGGGAGGGAAGGAGAAGAAAATAAAAATCGAGGATCCAATGCTTATACTGCTGAATTCTTCAAAACATTTAAAGAGGAACATATACTAATTATTTACAAACTGTTCCAAAAAAAGTGAAAAGGAGGAAACTCTTCCAAACTCATTCTATGAAGACAGAATTACCTTATTCCAAAATGCGACAAGAACAGTGAAAAACTAAACTACAGGCCAATATCAGTGATGAACATAAATGCAAAAATTCAAAACCAGCAATGCTAGCAATCATAATTTGAAAGCACATTAAAAAGATGATTCACCATAATCAGGCTGTATTTGTTCCAGGGAGGCAAGGAGGGCTTATGATATATAAATCAATAAATGTGATACACCACATTCGCTAAGGTAAGATAAAAATCATATAATCATTTAAATAGATACAGAAAAAGCATTTGACAAAATTCAATGTTTTTTGTAAACATAAGATCTCTTAACAAATCAGTTATAAAAAGAGTATAACTCAATAAAATAAAGGCCATATGTGATAACCCACAGCCAACATGATACTGAATAAGGAAAAATTGAAAACTGTGTCTCTAAGATCAAGAACAAGACAAGGATGTTCACTTTAATAACTTCTCTTCAACATAGCACTGGAAGTCCTAGCTAGAGCAATTAGAAAAGAGAAAGAAAAGACATCCAAATTGAAAAACAAAAAGAAAGTCAAATTGTCCCTGTTTGCAGATGACATAGATCATGTCATATGTATAAAAGACCCTATACTGAAAAACAGAAACAGTAAATGAATACAGTAAAGTTTTAGAATACAAAATCAGCATAGAAAAATCAGATGCATTTCTATACCCAACAGCATACTATCTGAAAAAGGAATCCCCATTGAAAATAGCTATAAAAAAAATGCCTGGCAAAATAAAGACGTCTAAAATGAAAACTATAAAACATTGATAAAAATCAATTGAAAAGATACAAGTAAAGACAAGGTTATCCCATTTTTTGAATTAGAAGTGTTAATACTGTTAAAATGACCATCATACTCAAATCAATCTATAGGTCCAATACAATCTCTAACCAATTTCCAATGTAATTCTTCACGTTCTGCGGATGTTAAAAAGATTTTTAAAACCGTTTTTTTGGTTCTGCAGGCGAAGGCTGTGGCCGCGCTCCCGCCGGCCAGTTCCCAGCAGCAGCTCATCGCCCCTGCTCCGCGCCTTCGCTCCAGGCCCGCACGGTCGCAGCCCCGCGAGAATCAGCACTGAGCCGGTCCCGCCGCCGCCGCCCCAGTGTCGGGCTGCTGCTGCGGGAAGCCAAGCGCCCACCGCTTGGAGGAGGGCGACGAGGCCTTCCGCGCGAGCAAGTACCAGAAAGCGCCGGGCTCTTCCGCTCCATGCTGGCCCTGCTGGCGCAGCCCGACCGCGGCCGGTGCCTGAGGCTGGGGGACGCGCTGGCCCGCGCCGGCCGCCTCCCGGTGGCCCTGGGCGCGTTCCATGTAGCCGGGAGGTTGGAGGCGCTGAGTCCGGAGGAGCTGGGGGAGCTGGCGGGCGGCCTGGTGTGTCCCGGCCTGCGCGAACGGCCACTGTTGGCGGGGAAGCCTGGCGGCGAGCTCAGGGCTAGGGAGGGCCGGCCCTGGCGCCCGGCGCGCCCCGCGACCTGCTTGGCTGCCCACGGCTGCTGCACAAGCCTGTGACGCTGCCCTGCGGGCTCACGGTCTGTGAGCGCTAAGTGGAGCTGGGGCCCGCGCGGCCACAGGCGCGGGCGCGTGAACGTGGTGCTGAGCCGCCTGCTGGAGAGGTGCTTCCCGGCCGAGTGCCCGCTGCGCAGGCTGGAGGGTCAGGCGCGGATCCTGCAGCGCCAGCAGCAGCCCGAGGCCGCGCTGCTCAGGTGCGACCAGGCCCTGGAGCTGTGACTTGGCTGTGGGGCTGGCCCGCCTCCCTGGCCCCTGTCAAGCCGAGCGGCTGGAGCTAACCCGCGGGCCTGGGCTTTTGAGCGCTTTGTCCAGGCGTAGGGGGTCACTTTGCTTACTAATGATGGGAAGGTGAAAGGTGGGGGAGGCCACTCCCTGCAGTCAGGGTGGCAGGTGTCAGAGGCCACATGCAACCCACTGGTTTTGTCTTTTCTAGGATGCTGATAAGTTTCCCGCGGCCCCCGGAGCAGCTCTGTAAGGCCCTGTAGTTGCCTTTCATTCCCTTCTGCTCTATTGAGGAGTGGGAGGATGACAAAGTGTTTTTGCTCAACCCGAAGGAAAATGCACATGGGAGGACACACCGGGTTACTATTTGAGTAGCCCAGGCAAGAGACCAGCGGCTGCTTCAGCCATGAGACCACCTCAGGCCAAAATAGCCTTGTGGTTGTTTTACTTCTTTTCACCAAATGGGTCTTTTTGGGGTTTGTGGCATGTCCCATGTAATGATGATCTCTTGGTTCCCCTTTCTCATTCACACCCGGGAGCTGAGGTGGGGTGGGGGAGTGGGGGGGGAAGGGGAGTGGCCACCTGCGCCAGGTATGAGAGAAGCCACACCTGAGACCAGCCCCTCTGTCCTCCTGCCTCTGCATGCAGCGTCCCTGCAGGAGGCAGAAGGGGTGAAAAGTAGCCTCGATGTGAAAGTCCTTGTGTGTCCCTGAGGGGGGAAGTAAGTCACAGTCGGGACACTGGTTCCTGTCACTGGGTGCAGCACAAAGAAGGACCCCAGGACATGCGGTGCAGACGGGAGCACAGAGAGGGTGAGTGCTACTGGGGTGCACAGGCAGCTTGAGGAGGATGGAGATGGCAAACTTCCCTTTGTCACACCAGGTCCACGTTCAGGGCCGGAGGACCACCAGATCCCCAAAGCCTCCGGTGCTTCCGAGGCAGAGGAGAGGCAAAGCCGGTGGCCCCCTGCGTCCAGGGACCTGGCAGCCACCACTGAGGCCCACCTGCTTGTCCCTCAGCCGGGTGCCCACTGGCAGCCACACTCCAGGTCTCTGGGCTCTGCCCAGGACGTGTGTTTGGGCTTCTCTCCCCAGCAGAAGTCATCAGCGTACCCTCTGCATCCCACGGATTTGCTTTGTTTCTGAGGGAATAATTAAGGAATGTTAGTATGATATCAGAAAATAGCTAATTATGGTGAAGAGCTAACAGGGCAATCTGGGAAGCTGTGGAGCTCTAGTTAGTGATGACAGAAGAGGAACATATTTGACTGTTTTGTGCTACACCCAGGTTCTCAGGAGGTGGCCAGGGAGGAGACTTGGCACTGTGCCATGCTCAGAGCCCCTAGTCCCAGGGACTGTTTCCCTGTGGGAGTTTGGATGAGAGGCAGTTGGCTGGGAAGCTCAGGATGGAGTGAGGAAGGAGAACGACTTGAGGTGCTTGGGTTGGAAAGATCTAGTACCCCAGGAGGGACTGGCTGTGGCCTGCACACACCCCAAACTCACACACTCTGTCATGCTCACACAGACACGCACACACACTCATGGACCCAAGCTCACACACCACACTCACATGGCTTATTCACACACTTACACACATTAACACACATATGCACTCATATTTACACATCCGCACACAGTTATATTCCACATACACACTCATACTGCCAAGTTCAAACACCACTATCACACATTTCTTCACAAACATTCACACAACTCACATACACACTCTCACACATGTACACACTCACCTACCCACTCTCCATTACACACATTTACCTGTCCGTTCTCACACACATGCACAAACACAAAGCCAAATTAGAGCCATTTTCCTGGTCCCACACAAACAAAAATGATACCTCAGTTTCTTGATCTTGACCAGAATTGGGCACATGATTCCATCCAACCACAAGGTGGGGCGGGAATGAAATCCTATCACGTCCTCAGGCTGTGGAGAAAAAAAACTATGTCAGGCCTCTCTAATGCCTCCCACAAATGGGCAGGAGGGATTGAAACAGAAAAGAGGTTCCTCCTGACATGTGGCATTGATGGAGCCTGGTTCTGCCTCATGCCAAGCCCTGCCTTGCCCCTCGATGATGGAAAATGGTTGTGTGTCTTGTTTCCTGGCCTCCATCTCTGTCTTGGTACAGAGTAGAGACTTGAGTCTCAGTTCCAAAGACAGGAGTCCCGCTGAGCTGACCCGCCCACTGACAGATGAAGTCTTGCCATCTGCTGACCAAGTTCCCCAAGGCCCCTTGAGACTCAACTTCTGAAGAGGTTCTGCTCAGAATTCCCCGTCCCCATGATCTGCCCGGCTGTCGGGACACTGGTGAGCCTGCTCAGTGGGGAGTCCCTTTTCAGCTCAGTCAGCAAGTGGCTCTTCTCTATAAAGAGGCAGGGGATGAACCTCCTCTCTAGTTTTAGCAGAAGAGGCCATGAGACCCATGGCAGAGGCCAGAGCTGTGCAGGCTGTAGGAGGTACCACGTCAGGGATTTCAAACGGAGGAAGGTACTTTCCAGAGAGTACTGCAGGGAACCAAGCCATATCCACCGTAGCTGCAATAAAAACTCTGAGGCTCAGCTTAAACTCAATCCTAGAAATGATGTCCCAGCACAAACTTTGCAGGATAAGCAAAATCTAGAGAAGAGAAAATGCAGACCCAGGCAATGATAAACACAAGTCATCGGGACCACCACGGAGCAGATACAGTGCCTTCTCCACGTGCGGTGAATGAGGTTCTCACGTCTGTTAGTGTGTGGAATTGAACATCAATATCAGAATCATTCTGTGTTACCTACAACTGGTTTTATGTTGTTATGCCTGTCTCCTGATGACTGTGTATCTTTAGCCAACCTTTTCACCCCAAAGCTCCTGCCCCAACCCCTCCTCCTGGAAGTGCCCATCTCTGGTCTCGGCAGGAGGCTGTTCTTCCCAGCCTGTGGGGTGGCCACCTTGCAGGCTGTAACCCTCTACAAGAAATAAAGTCTTCTCTCCTTTTCTAAATTTCGATATTTGCTTAATCCTTAGCTTCTATTTTTTCAAGCTTTTAAACTGCTTTTAGGTCATGGCCTCTTCTCTGTAGGGTCTGGAGGCTGAGAGATGTCCAGCAGGAAAGAACTGCTAACTAATTCCAGTAACGCTGCTCTTCTGCCTAACGGAGGTGTTTAAATGTTGATTTTGGCAAAATCTATGAGCAGGTTGCTCCCCCTCTCCCGAGATCTCTCACAATACTTTGTAAAACCCAATTTAGCGCATTGTCTGGGAGGGCAGCTTTTACTGGTTCTGCAGCGATCTTCCTTACTCATAATCTATTGAAATATTGTAAAGCGATGCAGATTTGTGGCATGTGAGGAGAGCATGTAGACACACACTCCGCTGTGATTCAAAGTGCCCTAACACCTTCCTCTCCCCTACAGGCTGTGATAGGAGGGTGCTCTGGGTCACTGAGGAAGGGGAGTCATAAAGGAGCAGAGGCCCCCCGTCGTGAGTGCCATCTCTCCTTGAGTGTGGCCTCTTGTTCTAGCCCACAGGCCCACCATGCCCTGACTAAATGCTCGCACTGCTCATACATCCACTTTTAAAAATTGAGTTGAACATGAGAACATGATCATTCATGTTTTATCCATTTGCATGTATTCAATACCATCCTTTCCTCATCTCTGCTTTACCGCCTTTTCCTTTAAAGAATGAATGTTTCCATGTTTTATATCCACAGAATTTCTGGTCTTTCCCTTTGGAGCCCAAGGAGCAAGGGCAGAATGAGGAACATGATGTTCCTTACAGACAGTTACTCATGAGGCCACAGCACAGAAACTGCAAGAAATGTCAGTCATGAAGTGTCCCAGTGCATTTTAAATTGATGGTTATTAAAAATCCTTCTTTATCTATAGGGGATCTAAAAAAATTAAACAACTCATAATTTAAACACAGTTGCCAGGTAACCTGAGTCAAAAATCAGGAGAGGCTCCGTGGTCTGAAGTCTCCTAGTGCTCACCTTGGTGACGTTCTAGTTGCCTAACGGGTTGGTGTAATGACGTCATTCAACACAAGCAAAACACAACTCCCTTGGAGTTGTTCAAAAAATCAGGAAATAGAAAAAAAAATAAGGGAGAATAAAATATTGACAGGAGAGAAAAATGAAGAGTTACTTGGAGATTTGAAGGAGGTGAAATGGGCAAAAAGTAAATTTAGCAATTAGAATTTAAAGTCAGTGGATAATTAAGTCGAATAATTTATTCTTATGTCCATGTATTTTGGTTTTAAAGTTTTGATTAATACTCACTCAACACTAATTTCTAACAAATTAGAATATTCCCATATTGACTATTTTTACCAGTGAGCTTGTAATAAAGATCCACCAGTAATTTTAGTACACCATAACCTTTCAAAAGAAGCCCATAGAATAAACTAATTTTTAAAGAGCCACATTTTATTCAATGTCTATTTATACATGTTACTAGCAATAAACTCTTTTATCTTTAATTTTGAGAAGCTTTACAAATACAGAAAAGTAGAATGACTAATAGAGCCGGTAGCCAGGACTCAGATCGGAAAAATAGGTCTAATCGGTTGTTACACTGTGTTTATGTCATACATTTCACTTATTTTTATCAAATAAAAATTAGAATTTATAAAATGTTGATTAAAAGGAAAACATTCTGACTAAAGTTTAGTCCTGTGTTTCTTCCTCCAAATCTCTTTGTTCTACACTAACAAGTCAGGATAAGTATGGATGGGGAGGCTGGAAAAGGGGCATCCTTCCCCATGAGGTCCCCAGAGCCACCTTCTCCAAGCAGAACTTGGGGAACATCCTTCTCCATCCAGGACCTAGGGGGCATCTTTTCTCCATCCAGGACCTGAGGGGTGTCCTTCTCCACCCAGGACTTGGGAGGTGTCTTATCCACCCAGGACTTGAAGGGGATCCTATTCCATTCAGGAGTGGGGGAAATTCTTCTTCATCTGGACTTTGGAGGCATCCTTCTCCATTTAGGACTTGGGGGGCATCCTTCTCTATCCAGGACTGGGGTTTGTCCTTCTCCATATAGGACTTGGGGGGGCATCCTTCTCCATCCAGGACTGGGGTTTGTCCTTCTCCATATAGGACTTGGGGGGCATCCTTCTCCATCCAGGACTGGGGTTTGTCCTTCTCCATATAGGACTTGGGGGGCATCCTTCTTCATCCAGGACTGGGGGGTTATCCTTCTCCATTCAGGACTGGGTTTGTCCTTCTCCATGTAGAACTAGGGGGCATCCTTCTCCATTCAGGAATTGGGGAGCATCCTTCTCCATCCAGGACTTGGGGGACATCTTTTTCCATCCAGTAACTAGGGGGCATCCTTCTCCATCCAGGACTGAGGGGGGCATCCTTCTCCATCCAGGACTTGGACGACCATCTTTCTCTATCGAGGACTTGGGGGACCATCCTTCTCCATCCAGGACTCAGGGGACATCATTCTCCATCTAGTAACTAGGGGGCATCCTTCTCCATCAAGGACTAGGGGGCATCCTTTTCCATCCAGGACTGGGGGGCATCCTTCTCCATCCCAGAATTGGAGGGCATCTTTCTCTATCCAGTATTGGGGGTCATCCTCCTCCATCCAGGACCTAAGGGGTGTCCTTTTCTGCGCTTCCATGGATGGCAGCCTTGCCTGTGCAGTCATTCAGAAAGTCAGGCTGACACATGTTGTCGTCTTGAACTCTGGCATCTCATCTCTATTCTAGGTGAATGCCTTCATGTTTATAGTGATTTACCATTAAATCACTGTGCTGTTTTTCCCTAAAATACATGGGGCGTGTTTTTTGTTCTGACTTCTTTCAGTCCTTTGGTCCCTATCTCCGGGTTTTTGTAATTTCTTTTGCAACCTAATATGGGTCCCATTTGGTAAGTATTACATATACTAGAAAGTGATGTACATTCAGCATTTGTTGTGATTTAAAACCTTTTATAAACACATAACATCTTTGTCTATTTCCCATTTAAATTCAGAAGTATGAGTTCCAGTGTCCCTCTCTAGACCTGCTCTATCCTGTTAGTTTCTTTGTATGTCCTGGAGGTGAGGCCAGCATTGGACTTGACGTTGGTTCACCTACCCGGTTCTATGGTCCCTCCATGTGCAGTGTCAATCTTGTTGTTTATTATTTCTTCCTTAAATTTTATTTAAACTAAAATTAATTTTGTGATAGCAGCTTGCTTTCTGTGAATATTTACTTAAAATTTTTATAAAATATTTAATTTTTAATTTCTTTAATTTGAAAGTGCTGCTTAGTTATTGATAATTTTGTATTTTAATATATGAGGTTAATCCCTCTATGTTTGGTAGGAAAAAGTGATATATTTGAACTTATTTCTATCATTTGATTTTTGGATTTTGTATTTGCAAAGCTTTATCCTCAATTCTCTTTTCCTTTTTTCAGATTTCTTTTCTTTTCTTCTTTTTTTTGGGGGACAGAGTTTCGCTCCTGTTGCCAAGGCTGGAGTGCAATGGGAGATCTTGGCTCACGACAACCTCTGCCTCTCGGGTTCAAGCAATTCTTCTACCACAGCCTCCAAGTAGCTGGGGTTACAGGCATGCACCACCATACCCAGCTAATTTTGTATTTTTAGTACAGACAGAGTTTCTCCATGTTGGTCAGGCTGGTCTCGAACTCCCAACCTCAGGTGATCCACCCATCTTGGCCTCCCAAAGTGCTGGGATTACAGGCATGAGCCACTGCGCCCGGACTTCCAGATTTATTTTCAATCAATGTTTCATTTTCCACTTCCTTCCTATGCTGGCTTGTAGGTTTTCCAGGCTATTTACCTTTATTTAGTGTCAAAAATTCTTTTGGGAACTTTTGAGTTGTCAACCAATAGTTGTAAGCATATTGGATATTGCTGTTTTTCTCCCAGTGCTCTGGTTATAATCTCTCCTATTAATACCTTGTAGTCTTATTGTTGTAGTTTTTTTTCTATTAATTTCTGAGATATAAGAATTAGAATTGTCAAATTGTGGATTTATGCATTTATCATTTTAATTCAATAACTTTTGCTTCATGTATTTTGTTATTTTTCTTAGGTGTATGCATGCTTATGCTTATTAGGTTTTCTAAGCAAATGGACTTATTAGTATAAAACATCCTTCTTTATCCCTGGTGATGCTTGTCTTTCTTGTAGTCTGTCTTATCTGCCATTAATACACTGGCTGCAGTTTTTGATAACAAAGATTTGTATAGTGTATATTTGTCCATCTTTTCAGTTCAAATCTATTTATATCTTTATCTCATAAGTGTATTTCGTTTTAAAAGTGGTTATTGAGGTTTCCTTTTTACTTATTTTGACAGTCTCTGTTCCGCCTTCCTCATCTTCTTCTGGATTATGGTAGTTTTGGTTTGTTTGTTTGTTTTATGGGGTTTTCTTTTTGTTTTTTTTTAGTATGGATTTTGTACCTTGTTTTTTTTTTAACTATGACTCTTTGTTTCATTTATTTATTTTTGGTGAGTTGTTCAGAAATTAAAATATAAATACTTAATGTATATTAAATATCATAACACTGTATATAAAATATAAAAACCTTACCTTACCATCCTCTCATCTTTTGTGCCATGTTGTCATAGATTTTTCTTTTGTACATGTTGTAATTCCTGGAGGATGTCATTAAAACAGTAATTTCCCCTCCACATATTTACTATTTTTGGCACACTTTCATCTTTTCTGTGAAGTAGAATTTCCAACTGTTATTTTTCTTCATCCTGAACAAGTTTATTTATTGGGGTTTGGGTGTGATGGCAACACGGTCTCTCAGACTTTCTTTAACTGAAAATACTGGGTATATACCCAAAGGACTATAAATCATGCTGCTATAAAGAGACATGCACACGTATGTTTATTGCGGCACTATTCACGATAGCAAAGACTTGGAACCAACAATGTCCAACAATGATAGACTGAATTAAGAAAATGTGGCACATATACACCATGGAATGCTATGCAGCCATAAAAAATGATGAGTTCATGTCCTTTGTAGGGACATGGATGAAATTGGAAATCATCATTCTCAGCAAACTATCGCAAGAACAAAAAATCAAACACCGCATATTCTCACTCATAGGTGGGAATTGAACAATGAGAACACATGGACACAGGAAGGGGAACATCACACTCTGGGGACTGTTGTGGGGTGGGGGGAGGGTGGAGGGTTAGCATTGGGAGATATACCTAATGCTAGATGACGGGTTAGTGGGTGCAGCGCACCAGCATGGCACATGTATACATATGTAACTAACCTGCACATTGTGCACATGTACCCTAAAACTTAAAGTATAATAATAATAATAAAAAAAAGAAAATGTACTTTTCTCAACTTCAGTTCTGAAGGCTGCTTCAGCAGGTTCAGAATTCTAGGGACACTTTCGACTTAGAATAGCATGAAGTCTCTGCTTAGCAATGATCTGGGCACCATCGAACATATTACTATATCCAGCTGTGTCAAATCTGTCATCGGCCATAGAACGCTTTGACAGGTGCTTCTTGTTGCTTAAGTTCTAAGTATTTCATAGTCTTCAGAGACATGGAGAAGTAGCAGTGCTAGTAACAGTACCAGTAAAACCAGGTTAAGCCCTAAAATAATTAAGAAGCCATTGCATGCACACACGTGAACGTTTGACTTCAGCTACAATGCTTTCAAATGTACTATTTTAACTTTATACAAGGTCATAACACAAATTAAAATTTTAAAAATACTTTCACTTTACATATGTGAAAACTGCAGCTCAAAGAATTTAAAAGACATGACTGAAATCCCATAACTAGGTAAAGATGGTCTAATCTGGAGCCCGCATGTCTTGGTCCCCCCACGCCCTGTTACAGAGAGTGCGAGGCTTCACCAGGAAGCTCTTTTGGCTCAAGGATTAGCTCTGGGGAGGTGCAGCAGGCAGGCCTGCTTTGCATCCTCTTTACAGCAGAAATCCAATGTTTGTTCATGTTTCTAGTTCTTTTTGTTTTGTTTTGTTTCTTACCAGCATGGCTCTGGGAGTTATTTACACAATTTAATTTTAAAAGAGACAGTCCCCATCATTAGGATTCCTTGGAAACTTATGCAAAAAAAAATAAATAAATACTGATAGATGATAAACTTCTGCAAAATTGGGATATGTGTAATATATCTAATTGTAATGAAAGAAACATGTGTATCACAGTAATAATTTAATTTATTACTGTCATTTTCTTGCCAGATTTGAGGGCAATTTTTTTAAGCTCTCCACATGTGGTTTACTGTGGACCAAACACTGGCAGCTTCAGGCTTACAATCTGCTGACAAACCCTTCTCAGTTCCTTCATTTGAAAAATGTGAGCATGCACTGCTCATGTGCCTGGCAAGCACATAACTCACTCAGGAGAAGGACAGTGGCCACTCAGGTCATCAGGTGAACTTGTGACGAGGCCATCAAGAGGCTGCACGTGAGCTCCAGAAAATGAAATTCCCACTATCAAGCTATTCCCCATTTCCACCCAATGCCCCCGCCCCTGCTCCAAAGCAAAGTCTCCACCTCTTAGGAATGCTTGATTTTCAGTATTGCTGAACAGGGGTCAAAGAAAACAAACTGAACAAAGACACAAATGAAGCCTTTAACACAGGGAGCAAAGACACAGCACCTCCCCACTCTGCAACAGCTCCAGAGCTGCACAGCTGCTGCCAGAGCCTGAGCACAGGCTGAGCTCTGGCCCGTGGATCTCACCAATGCCTTTCTTCCCTCTGTGTCAAAAAAAGTATCCATAAATAGGATTCATTTACTCGGGACATAAAATAATGTATACCTACAGTTTCGTCCCAGAACTGTGTAAACCGGCATGCTGTCTGCCACAATACAGTCCTCACCCTGCATCAGGAGCTCAGATGGGGGAAGCTGGCAGGGCTGGAAGCCTGGGAGTCACAGGTGCTTGGAGGAGACAGAAAAGCACCACAGAGAGCCAGGCCCTGCCTACAAGTCACATGTTTAGGGGTCTGGTTGTCTGGGCAGGCTGGGAGATGCTCTCTAAAGGAAATGCAAGAAATATTGCCCCACATCTCCCACCACCAAACAGGAAGTGCAGGTGGTCAGCCCCAGGGCTCACCTGCTCTTTGCCAGGGTCACGAGTCAGGCCCAGGCTGCGCCCTCCACACAATCCTCAAGGGGACTTCCTGCCAGGCTGGGACAACTGCACGGGGCCCTGATGCCCTGGGAAGGACAGGGTTGCATTTAACAGAAACAGCTAAACCTGAAGGGATGAGCTTGCCTTTCCCCGGGGCCATGGGATGGTTTATAGAAAGTTCTACCCATCAGGACAAAGACCTCACATGACACCATCAGAGGAACTGATTTCACACCACAGAGGGAGGAAGAGGGCACATGCCATAGGTCTGCTGGTCACAGCACACACACACTCCTGGGAGCTTCAGACCCAGCAGTGGTGGCTCAGGTGCCAGGTCAGGATGTGGGAGGACACAGTGTCTGGGTGAATCTGTCACCTTTGCTAGCTGCCTTGTCCCACCAGGTAGAAGATGTGGCAATGGGAGCACAGCAGTAGGAAGCCCAGTGTCCCCCAACCTTCCACCTCACAGCCAGGACCTCTGAGGGGCATCTATATCCTGCATATCTAGGCTCTGAAAAGCAGGAGGCCCTGGTTTCCACAGTTGTGGGGCTTCTAGCCAGGGCTGGGCCAGGTTCTCTGAAAAAACAAGCTCCGGGTGCTGCTTTGTCCTCAGGCTACTCCTCCATGGGACCTGCAGGCAGAAAAATGGGTACCACCTGGACCGTGGTGTTAGCAGAAGCAGGGCTGTGCTGCCTGGGGAAGGAGGGGCTCCACGCAAGTACCTCCCGGTACACAGCATTTGATGGCATGTGGACAAGTGCGGGAGCCCTAGACCAAGGACTCTGTGGTGAGCAAGGCTCAGGACCCCTTAGGGGTGAGGGCCTGGGTTACACCACCAGGGGGTCACCAGGACCCTCAGCAGAAGGTGGAGGGGGTGGCAATCATTACCTGTGTGACCCTGAGATGGGTGGCAGCCACAGAACCTAGGGTTCATTGAACCCACCTTTTGTAACTAGTGCCCAGGAAAAGGCCTAGAATTTAATAAAGACGAGGCCCCTGTCAGTGGAGTGCTGGATGGGGCGCACCCCCTGGGGTACACCTGAACCTCCCCCAGGGCCTTGGCTGTGAGCTTTGATTGTAGACATACTTATGCCACGGCCCCTTCAGACTGCTCCCTTCACCTCTGAAAAATCAGACAGGATGCTTCTGTTCCTGGAAACATGAATGCCCTTCATGTGTTTTTTACTTTGACTAGAAACTCATCTGCAACCGAAATATATGCAGAGAACTCATGTGCTCCCAAGGTTTCCAGGCATCTCTGAGAGTTTGCTTCTCAGTTCCCAGGTGTGACAGCTCCAAAGCAGGTGCTGCTGGTTTCTCATCTCAGTGTATTTTAGTTCCCTGTGGACAGCATGTTTCTAACCCCTTGCACACGCTTGGCTCAGATTTTTGAAAAAGCCAAGGGTGGGAGGCAGAATGATGTGGAATGGGCAGAAACTATGAGTAAAGGCTGGCCTCACCCCAGGAGGAGACAGAAGGCATTAGCCCAGTGACAGTGCCAGGGAACCCATGCGGCAGCCTAGGGAAGGTCAGGGAATGGAGCTGGGGTTTCGGCTGTCGCCATCCCAGGGTTAGACTCAGCCAGGTAAACGGCTGATTCTCCTTCACAGAACCCTTGGGCTGGCACAAAACATGTGATTCACAGCGAGAGAAAGACCACTCATGTCCACCCCCTGTAGCCTCCACACACCTGAGCCGGTACCTGACATATCCCAGAACAAGACTCCACAGCTATGCATCTGTTCTCTCCAGGGCATTTCATGATGAGAGAGGGATTTACTTAACATGATGAAAATAGAAGAGGAAATGACCTTGATGAGAACATAGTTCCACACCCGCCATCCAGGGCCTAGGAATAGTGCTCAGCCAGGGCCCGGCCCTTCTAGGGCTCTTGGAAGCTGCAGTGGAGGTGGTGTTGGGACAAGCAAGAGTGACCATTTGCAGGCAGTGTGGGCAGGGGAAAAGCCCAGTGGGAGGATGAGAGGACAGCAGAAACCTGGCAGGGGCTATGCACCCCCTCCCCATGGGAAGGGGATACACTCCCAGGTGGAGCCACTGTTTACATTGAAATCACTCAAGTCCATCACCAGGAAACACAAAGAGGATTGTCTCGCCAGAGATTAGTGACATGGGACTTAAACAAAATGCCAGTCAGCAAATGAGAGGATTCTTACTTCCACAGACCTCATGTCTACAGTTGCAGTAAGCAAGACTGAACTCAGCCATGCTCACCTGCAGACACTGAGATGCTTGCTAGGAGGCTGTGGGGTGGAATACAAGACACGAGGGCTGACAAGGATGGGAAGAGCATCCCTTTCCTTGCTGTGGGGGGCCTTGGCCAGTTCAAAAATAGATAACATGGGTCTCAGAGCTCCTGAGGCAAGAGCTACGTTGGCATTCAGAGATACTTGGATGATGGCATTGTCTTCAGTAGAACCTCGAAAAAGCACCAAGGACTCCCAGGCAACTTAGCTTAAATCTCTCTCGAGTAGAGCTGGTCTTTGGGATCTCCATCAAGTGAGTGATGCCTTTACCACCATGACAGCACATTATAAAGATGGCCTTGCTACCAGCAGGGACAGGCCTGATGATACTGATCCTGAGGAGGAATCTTATAAACCCATATAATTTAATTTTGGGTAGGCTCAAGCTCATCACTGAGATCATCCTTTGTATGACGATCCATGAGGCCACCGTGAAGAGCATGGATGCACCCAGGCCGCAGAGGGGCCCTCTTCATCCTGGATGAGGAGCCCACAGTGGCCATTGCCCCTCAGTCAGAATAAAATCAAGACAAAAGCAATCAGAAGACCCATACACTATGAGGCTGAGCCATTTTTCAAAGATGTCAAAATAGGAAAATAAAAAAATGGAAGAAAACCCAGAATTTAATCCCCTGACTTGCTCCAGAGGCCTCCCCAACTCCAGGCCACCAGAAGCGGGGACCCTGCAGAGGAACTCTCCCTGGGTAGAAATTCACTGGTTTTTGCCTTCCACCAGATGTTGGCAACTTCAATTTCATCTTTTTTGACATCATAGCTAATGTTAAAAGGACTCAGATCAAAAAAAAGTGATGTGGCTGCAGCCCTGACAATGCTCCCAGTGAGAATTTGTGCAAAACTCTTCCCTCGACTTGCAAAACCGGGTCCAGGCAGGGTCTTAGGGCCGTGACGACTGCATCTCTGCCTCCTCTTCTCTGCAGTGCGGCCTCTTCACAGGCAGAGCATTCATTCCTCTTTAGCTTCTCACCAGCCCAGGATGCAGGGAAGAAGTAGCTTATCAGCACAGTCTTGGAATATTTTTACTTTACCAGCTGGGCTCCTATGAACAATGTGTCCAGCTATAGGTAAACAATGTGTGCAAATAATGTGAGAGTGACAGCACCGTGTCAGGACCATGCGAGAAGCTGGCCAGAGGCACTAGCAGCAGATGGGATGCCGATGGGGGTGACCAAAATACAATATGGGGCAGTTGCATGCCATGATCAATCCGCAGGGGTAGGGGAAACAATAACCCTGGGCCTGGCTAACATTTGCATGTGAGAACATTGACCCAAGTCCCCAGGAGAACGTTGAAGAGAACCGCGGCTTATTGTCAAAGGGAAAAGTAACCGCAGAGTTTTCTTTCTGCTTCTAAGCAGATGGGAGGGGTATAGCCTGCAGAACCAAGGGTGTGGGGGCCCTAGAATGTTGTTGGTGGTTGTTCAGCAAAGGGCTTCACTTCTCAGCCTGCAGAACTTTCCGCCCGTGAGTGTGGGTTACATCTATACATACACAGGAAATCATATACTCCCACTCAGCCACCCACATCTAAACATGGTAGTATTAGGAAAAATAGGAAAGCAACATCCTACTAGATTACATTGTTTACAGTGAAACCATTTAAACCCCTGAGCCTCTGTGTCACCAATTAACACTGCGTGTAAGGAGAATGCCTGCCCCGTGGGGGTTTGTAAAGACAAAATGTAAAAATAAAATGTAGGCTGGGCGCGGTGGCTCAAGCCTGTAATCCCAGCACTTTAGGAGGCCGAGGAGCGTGGATCACGAGGTCAGGAGATCGAGACCATCCTGGCTAACTCGGTGAAACCCTGTCTCTACTAAAAAAAATAAACAAATAAATAATAAAATAAAATGTAGAGTGCTTGGTAAACTAAAGTTCTAAATAAATATTAGTTGTTCTATTACTATGTCAGAAGTACAAGTCACAAGACCGGAATACTTCACTTGAATAAGAACTCAGTGCAAAGAAGTTGGATAAATCGGTGAGTTTGAAACTGCAACAGGACTAAAACGATGCCAATTAATTTATTAATGTATTCATATTCATTAACTTATTTATATTCAAATGAATTAAATATTTAGTGCATGCTTGGAGCTGGGAACACACAGCCATCAGGGCCGCACGAACTCCGTCCTCACTGCGGTTGTTTTCAGATGACCTCAGAGGAAAATAAGAGGGAAACACTGGCAATTTCCTCCCGTTGATACCTTAGCTGACTGCATAGCTCATGTTAGGTCGGTCTTAATGAGGAAATCAGAATATTCGGGGCTTCAGTATTAAAACTACAAATCTCTATGGCAAGCATTCAGAGCTCTTTGGATTAGACATCAGTGGTTGCAGTAACGTTACCTGAGAAACCCGCACACTTTCTGAACACTGGCATGAGTTTCCTTTCCTTTCGGGCCACCATATGTGGAAAAACACTTTCACCCATGACCCTAAGTGTCCCAAACTGCAGAAGAGGCAGATAGTAGCCAGCTAGTCCCTGTCAAAGGCCCATTGCCCTCTTCTGGGTCAGCCTGGTCCACCCAGCCTGAGGTGCTCTCTGAGACAGCCTAGCCACCACGCCACAAGCCCCTCAGCCTAATCAGAGCATCAGGATGCTGTGCACAGCCATTAGCTGGGGTGACTCAGAATTATCTGCTGTAGAACAGGGCTCCAAGTGAAGGATGTGGTCACTCAGACCACGTAGATGGTTCAAGCTCTTACTCCTCTGTCAGCTCAGTGCCTGCACAGTGGAAAGGAAGTGCATCTATTGATTTCTTGGCCAAAAGAACAAGTTAATACATTTTTTAAAACTTTGACATTTTGTCTTAAAGCAACAGTGGGCCTTGTTTAACTAAAATCTCATCTCTTCAGCCTAATTTTGCTGGAAAGGCCCCCAACCAAGGCAAGCCCCTGGAGGAGAGAGAGCAGCTAGGATGCTGGCACCAGATGGCTTTGTTCCCCAGCCTTCAATATACTCAGTTACAAAATAACCACATCAGAGGTTTGATAAGATTATCCCCCAGGCCATTTTTCAGGTCTAAATGTTACCATATTTTACGAGAATACAGTATTTGAATCAACTCTCAGGGGACCCAGCCTTCAGGAGACACTGAAGGAATACAGCCATTTTTCTAGCCTCAAAAGCATGGTTTGCAAACTGGCTTGTTCTTTGCAGGAGAAAACCACACACGTGGCCATTGATGCCCTTGGTTGACAGAGTTGACGGGATTTTCTCTGGCTCTCACCTTGAGGGCATCATCAGCATCCTGAAGTCACTAGCGGGCCTCTGTGCAGATGTCCTTTCGAGGGGCTTCAGGCTGTGGAAGTGACCAGTGAACACAGGACCTGCCTGGACTCCCAGCCTCACAGCACAGCACCACAGCCTGGACTGCCCCCTGCCTGATACTTGCTTGGTTTGGAACTTTACTCCATCAAAACATCCAAATAAAAATATGTAGACTCCCCACCCTATCCCATCTGCTATAGGGTTCTAATTCCCCCACAGACATCCCATCACAGTGCTTTCCCCCATGACGGGGGACTCCTGAGCTGGACTCCATCCCTCCCCTACCAGAAAAGCACAGGTGCTGTGGCATGAGTTCAACCGCCTGAAATTCCCTGATCTTCAGAGTAATAATTCTAAAATAGGGCAATAATACCCCTGTCAGTGTTCTTGGAAGAACTTCTCATTACTTGAGGCCCCAGAAATGCAAACACTCCTCCGGTTTTCCAGCGTGCTGTCAACCCTGGCATCAGAGCTCTTCCTGCCGTGGGCACTGGTAATTGACTTACTGGAGAAAGTCAAGCTTTTAAGTCCCAGGAATAAAGGATTCCTATTTCCTTAAGCTATGTTTATTTTTACGCTATTGCTGGTAGAGTCAATGTGTACTGAGTGAAGATGAGGCAAGAGTGTCAAAGAGTGATTTCCAATAAGATGAAAAGTGATCTGCAGTTTCTACTTCCTTAACCAGCAGGAAACGTTTCTCCTGTAGCATCGGACAGTGGAGGCAGTGGCGCTCAGTGTGGGGCCTCCTGGCTGAAGGAGGGGACAACACGGTGTCCCATCTCCCTAGATGCTGTATGCACCTCACCTGGCTGGTGATTTACTTGACAGAAACCCATGTGTGGAGTAGGGAGTGCTGCCTTTGGCATCTACCCAGTTTCTGCTCTGGACTCTGCCTCTTAGCAAGGGTGACTTGTGGGCCCAAATCACCTGGTGGCTGTGAGCCACTCCACTCCAGCCTGGGCAAGAGTGAGACCTTGTGTGAAAATAAAATAAAATATAAAAATAAAAATAAGCCGGGAATGGCGGCTCACAGCTGTAATCCCAGCACTTTGGGAAGCCAAGACGGGCGGATCACATGTGGTCGGGAGTTCGAGACTAGCCTGACCAATATGGAGAAACGCTGTCTCTACTAAAAATACAAAAAATTAACCGGCTGTTGTGGCTCATGCCTGTAATCCCAGCTACTCAGGAGGCTGAGGCAGGAGAGTCACTTGAACCCAGGAGGCAGGCGTTGCAGTGAGCCAAGTTCCTGCCATTGCACTCCAGCCTGGGCAACAAGAGCGAAACTCTGTCTCAAAAATAAAATAAAAGTCTTTAAGTCATTCATCAATTTTATGTGTTTACTATTTCTTCTCCCATTCCATAAAGCCTACCGTCATATAACACAAAGGGAAAATCAGGACAGCCACATATAAATAAAGGTGCAAAGTCGAGGCAAGAGTGGACCTTAGGGGCCAAGCAGGGGTCATTGCTGAGCTTCACATTTAGCCCTGGGCTTTCTGGAAGCCAGAGTGAAAAGAGAGACACAACCAGCTGCATAAGAGTTATCAAAAAGCAGGAAGTGCACTGGTTTTTCTGGTAGTAAAGCAAGGGCTTTCCAAGAATTACCTCTAAAGTAATTTCTTTCATTCTTTCTTTTTTCTCGCTCTGACACCCAGTTGGAGTGCAGTCACAATCAGGGCTCACTACAACGTCTGCCTCCCAGGCTCAAGCCATCCTCCCACCTCAGCCTCTCAAATAGCTGGGACTACAGGCACGCACCACCATGCCTGGCCAGTTTTTTGGTATTTTTTGTAAAGGTGGGATTTCACCATGTTGCCTAGGCTGGTCTGGAACTCCTGAGCTCAAGCAATCCACCTGCCTTGGCCTCCTAAAGTGCTGGGATTTCCAGCATGAGACACTGTGCCCGGCCTAAAGTAATTTCTTACTTGAGATTTTATTTCAGGCTACTGTGTCATGCACTGGGCAGTACAGCCTGGTGGGTGAGAGTACAGTGGTTTTTTGTGTGTTTGTGTGTTTGTTTGTTTGTTGTCTGCTGGGTTTGGGTTTGAATTTTGTTTTAATACATGCAATTTATTCTGTGCTTCACTTTCTTCATCTGTAACATGGAGATAACGGCGTCTACCTATTAAAGTTGTGAAGATTCAATTAGATGAGTTGTATGAATAAATGTTAGCTATTTTTTTTTTTTTTTTTTTTTTTTTTTTTTGAGATGGAGTCTCGCTCTGTCACCCAGGCTGGAGTGCAGTGACGCAATCTTGGCTCATGGCAACCTCTGCCTCCCAGGTTCAAGCTATTCTCCTGCCTCAGCCTCCCAATTAGCTGCGATTACAGGCACCCGCCACCATGCACGGCTAATTTTTGCATTTTTAGTAGATTCGCGTTTTCACCATGCTGGCCAGGCTGGTCTCGAACACCTGACCTCAGGTGTTCCACCCGCCTCAGCCTCTCAAAGTGCTGGGATTACAGCCGTGAGCCACCGCGCCCAGCCAGCTATCAAGAAATTCGACTGCCTACTACTTAGCCTGCACAGTTCTAGGTGCTGGGGAAATAGTGGTGAACAAGACAAACAAGATCCTTATCTTCAAGTAGCTTTTACATTCTAAGTGGAGTGAAAAAACAATAAACATTGAAAATAAATTTCAGAAAGTGCTGTGGAAAAACTTTACAACAGATGCAGGAATAGATTTCATTTGACTAGCTCTCCCAGACAGTTTCCAGAAAAGTCAAGGGTAGAATGTTAAAAGGCAACTCAGAGGAGGTGAATCTGTTAGGGCCTGCGGTAATGCAATCCTGGTTTGTGGAATTCTGCAGGCTAATGTGGGTAGGTTACAATTTTGGGGGGAGGGGTTTATTTTGTTTGAAAATTCACTTCTTCCCGCTAAGCTTTTGATTAGGAGCTGAAGTTGAATCAGCTTGAAATTGTATTCTGGACCGGGTGCGGCGGTCCATGCCTTTAATCCCAGCGCTTTGGGAGGCCGAGGTGGGTGGATTGCTTGAGCCCAGGAGTTCGAGACCAGCCTGGACAAAATGGCAGAAACTCCGTGTCTACAAAAAATACAAAAATTGGCGGGGCATGATGTTCTGCGCCTGTAGTCCCAGCTACTCAGGAGGCTGAGGTGGGAGGATCACTTGAGCCCGGGAGGCGGAGTTTGCAGTGAGCTGAGATGTCACTGCATTCCAGCCTGGGCGACAGAAAAAAAAAAAAGAAACGAAAAAAAGAAATTGTATCCTGAATACATCTTCTAAAACACTACATTTACTTGCACTATATTAAACTGGTTTTATCCTGACCACAATTGCAGGTGAAAGATAACCACTGTTGTTCTATTTTTCTGGTAAGTAGAGTGAGCCATGTCTTGCCCAGGGAAAGACGCCTCCTAAAAATTTGTAGGACCACCTTTGGTTATCTTCCAGATTTTTTTTTTGTCATCGCTTTTCCTGCGCCCAATTCCCATCTGTCTAGCCCTTCTGCCTCCGCTGGTCTTTTTCGCGAGCCTCTCCCCAGCCGCTGGTATTCGTCTGGGCTGCAGCCCCGCCTATCTCCTGGGGCGTGACCACCTGTCCAGGCCCCGCCCCCGTCCAACAGGCGGAGACCCGCCCCCTTTCCCGGACACCGGCTTCAGCGCCCGAGCGTGCGCGCGGGTCTCCGCTCGTCGCCCGGCTCGGCGTCGGGAGTGCACTCTGTGTGGCCGCTGCTGCAGTGTTGTTGTGGTTGTGAGAAGGCGGCGGCGGCGGCGGAGTAGCAGCCGGACCAGACGCCCTAGTAGCTCAGTCGCTGCCCTGCGCCGGGCCTGGCAGGGAGCCTGGTGAGATGGTGGAGGAGGAGGCTGTGCCGTGGCGGGCCTTGCCATGTCCTGCTGCCTGGTAAGAACCCCATCCCCGTCCCCTGTCTCCTCCCGGGGTGAGGAGGAGCTGGAGGAGGGGCCGGCCTCTGTACGGCCCCGGCCAGGCGGCTGTCACCCTCTGAGGAGGCAGCGCCAGGGGAGGGGCGTCCCGGGCGGCCGCCGCCGCCAGGGGGAGGCGCTGGGAGTGGGAGTGGGAACGGGACCTCAGCGGTCGAGCTCGGCCGGGACCCTAGGTGCGGGGGAGGCGGGGTCCCGGGCTCCGGCTGCCTGCCCAGACCTGGCGGGGATGGGCCCGTGCGGCTCCGGGTGTGGGACGTATCCTGGGAGCGCCCGGGGTTATTCCCACTGACTCCCGGGAGGTGGGTGTGCGCCCTTCGCCCCCTGCCTGGTCTGTGGGGATCCATCGTTGCTGGAGACTGGAGGTCGGGGGCCATGGGAGCCCCGGGGCGAACGGTGCGGGCCTGGGTCTTGTGGAAAGGAGGAGCGACCGCCTGAGCGTGCAGCAGGACATCCTCCTGACCTGGTAATAATTAGGTGGGAAGGATGGTTGGGGGCGGTTGGCGTAACTCAGGGAACACTGGTCAGACTGCTCCCCAAACGATTACAGTGTTATTTCTCCGGTAGAAATTTTCCTTGATGTATGGTATTTCCGGACCCATAAGATGATGTCAGTCGTATTTTGGGCTGGAAAAGTTATGTCAAAATTATGGGGTAGATTTTATGGCCACATTAATAGACTCCCCTGGAGTTTGATAATCTCACTTGTGAGTTTTGGACATGAACTACTATTACATATTGATGTTCAAATGTCGTTTGCAGACCGAGGCCTAAATTCTTACTGTTCTAGTATCTTGATATCCACTTTGTTTTCTGACATCTGTTTTTCCACAACCCAAACAAACAAAACAACATCCCCAAACCATATACTTTTCCAGTTGAGGTTCAACTTTCTCTTATGTGAATGGTAATGCCATGAGAGGCCTGGGTTGAATTACAGGAGATGATTTTTTTTAAATGTTAAATGTTTATGATTTGTCCGTGGAGAGGTGGTGGGGGACCATCCCCTTTCAGATTCAGGGCTGTTCAGTAGGACAGGAGACATTGATGGCATGCAGAAAGTCTTCCCTTTATAGGGCCTATGACTTGGGCAGGCTAGAAGAGCTTACAGAATGACACTTTTTTTTTTTTTTTGAGACGTTATCTCGCTCTGCCGCCCAGGCCGGAGTGCAGTAGTGTGATGTCTGCTCACTGCAACCTCCGCCTCTCGGATTCTAGCAATACTCCCACCTTAGCCTCCCAAGTAGTTGGGATTACAAGTGTGCGCCACCACGGCTGGCTAATTTTTGTATTTTCAGTAGAGACAGGGATTTCTCCATGTTGGCTAGGCTGGTCTGGAACTCCTGACCTCAAGTGATCCACCTGTCTCGGCCTTCCAAAGTGTTGGGATTACAGGCGTGAGCCACCACCCCCAGCCAGAATGACACTGTTTTGAGTAACCCAGTATAGTATGTGATATTAAACTAAATTTGGAGGATTCTAGAATTCTAGATTGGCTGCCTATGATGACAGACCTCTTTTGGCTCCAATTACTCCCTCATTTTCAGGTGACTCAGAGAACTTCAAGTGACCAGCACAGTGGTACAGCCCCACTTGTCGTTAATGGCCAGCCATAAAAGAACCCAAGTTTCTCAGCTCATAGGCCAGGTTCTTCAGTGGTTGTCTAGTTTAAGGCTGGTCATTAGCAATATTATGGACGACCTAAGTTCCTCGAACTTATGCAGTTTATAGCTTTTTAAGAATTTAAGAAGTGGAGAAGGGGAAGCATGAGAAACTTAAAGGATGCAAATTGAGCATCTCTTAAAATATAATGGATTTGTGTAGGTGAAACAGATTTGTTGCCAAAAGTTAATTTGTGCACAAGTTATCAGGAACACACTTGATAAAATTAGATGCTGATTAATTGGAGATACATTGTATCCAGAGATACACAAGAATCCAGAGGAAATAAACAGAGAAGGAGAGGAAGTAAGTCAGCTTCTGGCTCATAAAGGGGTCCACTGAAGATGCTCCCTAACATGGTTGCTCCTAAACCATCTGACTCAGATTTCTAGTGGAGGGTAGGATGGGTGTGTTAGCAGTCATTTGAGATCAGGGTTGTGAACCAGGAAGGGTTACTACAGATTGTGAAAAGTTCTTGAAATTTGCCGCAGGCCGTGAGGAGTGGTAAAGTCAGTTTAAAAATCTGCTGTAGTTCTAGTTAACACGTTCACACCTTCTTTAGTGAAGTAGAATGCTGAGTTACCAAAGGACGTATTCACGTTTTAGAGGGGGTGTGGTGAAGGTTATTATAAGTTTGGAAGAGGTGGAAGAAAATGTTGTTATAGTTGTGTAGAGTAGTGAAGGACTTTGGCAAATATCCTGTCAAATCATGAAGTAGTATTTTTAGAGAGTTGCACCCAGCTGTCCATTAGAAGAGCCAGAGGCCTCGTCTGTTTTGTTCCCTGGTGTCGCCAATACCCAGCACAGTTATCAGCATATTCTATACCCTCAGATTTTTTTTTTTAGTAAGTGAATAGTATTGATATGGAAAAAAGAACAGTTATGGTGGTTTATAGCCGTGTTAGTTATTAAAAGCTACTTGATAATTTGCAATGGATTAAAGAGCCAGTTTTTGATCAAGTAGGGCTCTGGATAGGAAAGAAAATAAAAAAAATAAAGAGCCAGCTTTCAGTGCTTGTTGTTTGGAATTTTTGAGATTCCTTTAAGAAATTGTTTTCTAAAGACTGTCGTGAACATTGTTGTGTCCCCTGGTTTTTGAGTCTTAATGTGTCTTAAGTGTTTTAGATGTTAGTGACTTTTTTAAGAGCACATTAAATGCAGAGGTAATATAGAATAATGGGAAGTTCTGGATTGACAGATAGACATATATTCTGATTCCATCTGTGTCATTAATTGCTGTTGGGAATGTCACTTAACTTCTCTGGGCATCAATTTTCTCATCTATACAATTAAGGGCCTATAGTCTTTGACCTCAAGTAGTTTCTCTAGCCTGATTCTGTAAATTTTTAATAAGTTCTAATTATGTTATTTGGTATTCATCTCATATAGGTAGACTAACCTTTGCCATTTAAAAGAAACAAGATTCTGTGTTGGGTTCTGCTTTTAGCTTATGGATTTTAGACATTGTCCAAAAGTGCTTCGGAAATTGAATGTATGTTGCAAGTATTATGTAGTAAGAACATGCTTATGCTGTTGTAATTCGCTTAGTGTTGAAATCAAATCAGGTTTTACATTGGGAACTTCATAATTTAGTGTGAAGCCACAAGACTTGAGAATGATTTGGGGGAGTATGTGCAATTTATATAGCTAGTTGTTTCTTACCACCCAATTCTGTAATTTTCTATGGTGAATATATACATAAATTTATAATCATGTAACATTGATTGAAGATATAAGATGATATCAGATTCATATTGGATTGAACTAGGACTGCCAGTAACTTTAGAGGCCTCCAAAATTATTAACATGTCATTGCTATTTTTAATCTTAATTTTTTGGTATCATCAATATTGATATCATGCTTTCACCTTTGCTTTTGTATCTAGAAACAATATACTTTTTAAGTTCATACTTGTATCAGATATTAAAAATGAAAATTGTAGCATAAAAGTGGATAGATGAGTAAATCTTGGGTTCAAGCCTGCGTTGTATTCTTCATTAGCCGTGTTGTTTCTGGCAAGCCACGTAACCCCTCTGAGCTCCAATTCCTTCATTAGTGAAAGGAAGAAGAGCAGCTTCTCTACTTTTCTAACAGACTGCCAGGGGGAGAATGCAACGGAATAATGTGTTTGAAAAGTATTCAAAAAATGTAAGGGTCTGGTATTAGAATCCTATGATATTGGAATCCTGTTTTATTTCTTGGAAGAATTGGCTTGTGGAGCAGTAGTAAACCTGGTCCACATTGTCAAGTGCAGAATTTAGCAATATCACTGATAAGGCAACAGAAAAGGTTTCTGCTTCTGTAGTCTGGCTGGAGAAACCTTTCAGCAAATGTATCCTGTCTGCCAGTTGGAATAATCACAATGTTGCAGGGACTTCAGAGGAACCTGGGGTGTCTCACATTTATGCCAAGGTCTGTACTTAGAATAGACTTGCTAGATTTTACCCATTTTCTTATGTTGGAGTCGTGGGAGAAGGTGGTAGGAGCAAGGAGTTTAGCACACTCTGCATAAAGTTTTAAGGCTACATTTTTAAGTAGCAGGTGGCAGTGTCATAGGGTAATGAAATCAATGTACTTATTTTAAAAAGCATTTTAAAAAAGAATATATCAGTACATTGTGTAAAGTAAAAGTAAATATTGATTTGGGAAACTTCTCTTTCTTTTTAAAAGATATGTTTATGTATGTATACTTGGTTGCCGTGTAAAATGTATTTTTTCTTTTTAAAAATTATTATTTTCATTTTTTGTAGAGACAGGGTTTTGCTACATTGCCCAGGCTGGTCTTGAACTCCTGGGCTTGAGTAGTCCTGCCTTGGTCTCCCAAAGTGCTGGGATTATAGACATGAGCCACTGCACCTGGCCTAGAAAGTTATTTTTTCTTTTGGGTCGTGATAAAACTTGGTCGTAGTTGTTTAGGGACATAGTACTTGTGCAATGCCGATAGAATGACTGTCTATAAAATAATAAGGCATGAAACAAATGAAAACAAAGAGAAAATTGTGAAGATGGGTTACCTTAAAGCTATTCTGTTAGCGGTGAAATACCTCATAGCTTTGTTCTAAATTGTTGAATTAATGAACAAAGCACATAAACTTATGCTATAATAATCTTCTTAAGTACTCTTTTCCCTTAAGATGGAGTGTGGAGTACTTGTTAACCACACAGGTATTGTCTTGATCTGATAACTATAGATATTCAGAATGATTCTGTTATGACAGATGGTAGCAAGCTTTTCTGATTTCACTTATCTGGGGTCTAAATCTAATTTCTTTAGTAGTTAATACATATATATATATTTTTTGAGACAGAGTCTTGCTCTGTCACCCAGACTGGAGTGCAATGGCATGATCTCGCCTCACTGCAACCTCCGCCTCCCAGGTTCAAGTGATTCTCCCTGCCTCAGCCTCCCGAAGTAGTTAATACTTTTGTAACTTAGTTGCAGAAGAGAGATAGAAATTTCTGAATAATTTTCAGAATTATTCATAGATTTATAATCTGGCAGAATATAAGGAAGTTATAAGTATATTGATAAATCATGACATAACTGGCAAGAATTGGTATAAAGACAAGATGGTTAACTTGAAACAGGGTTGTTGTTTATTATATGCCTATCATTTTTCCATGAGATAAACCAAATATTAGATTAAGTATTTAGACTGATCCACAAATGACATGGGAAGACAGAGTGTTTACAAAGAGTTTTAGAAGTGATACAGGACAATAATTTGGAGTTTTAACTTAATCTCATTTTAAATTTCAAAGTGAAATTATTTCTGATTATGAAAGCTACAGAACTTTTTTTTAGATGGAGTCTCATTGTGTCACCCAGGCTGGAGTGCAGTGGCGTTTTCTCAGCTCACTGCAACCTCTGCCTCCTGGGTTCCAGCAATTCTGCTGCCTCAGCCTCCCGAGTAGCTGGGATTACAGGTACCCACCACCATACCTGGCTAATTTTTGTATTTTTAGTAGAGACAGGGTTTCACCATGTTGGCCAGGCTGGTTTCTAACTCCTGACCTCAGGTGATTCACCTGCCTTGGCCTCCTAAAGTGCTAGGATTACAGGCGTGAGCCAATGCATCTGGCCCAGAACAGTTTTAATGTTTTTCTTTTTTAAAAAAAGTAGAGATAACCTGTAATCCCATCTGGATGTGATGTTTGGTGTTTTCATTTTTTTTCTTATGCATACCTATTGAAATACCTTAAAAAAGAACAACTTTCCATGTAAAATTGATATTCCCTTAATGAGTAAATGAGTATTTAGTGTTCTATAATATGGATGCATCATAGTTTATAGCAGTTCTGTGTTGTTAATGGATATTGCCAATTTTTCTCTTAAAGTAGTACTGTGATGAACTTGTTTGGGCATTGAATTGTCCTATTATTTCCTTAGGATAATTTTTTTTTTTTTTGAGACAGAGTCACTCTGTCACCCAGGCTGGAGTGCAGTGGTATGATCTTGGCTCACTGCAGCCTCTGCCTCCCAGGTTCAAGTGATTCTCCTGCCTCAGCCTCCTGAGTAGCTGGGAGTACAGCCGTGCACCGCCACGCCCAGCTAATTTTTTGCATTTTCAGTAGAGATGGGGTTTTACCATGTTGGCCAGGCTGGTCTCGATCTCCTGACCTCGTGATCCGGCCGTCTTGGCCTCCCAAAGTGCTAGAATTACAGGCCTGAGCCACCGCGCCTGGCCCAGGATAAATTCTTAAAAGCGGATTTATTAGCCAGGCATGGTGGCTCATGCCTGTAATCCCAGCACTTTGGGAGGCCAAGGCGGGTGGGTGGATCACCTGAGGTCAGCAGTTCAAGACCAGCCTGGCCAAAATGGTGAAACCCCATCTCTACTAAAATACAAAAATTAGTCTGGTGTGGTGGCGAGGGTCTATAATTCCAGCTACTTGGAAGGCTGACGCACAGAGAATCACTTGAACCCAGGAGGCGGAGGCTGCAGTGAGCCGAGATTAAGCTACTGCACTCCAGCCTGGGCGACAGAGTGAGACTCATTCTAAAAAAAAAAAAAAAAAAAAAAAAAAAGGGCTTATTAGGTCAAAGGGTATGTGTGTTTTAAATGTGGATATACTCAAGATGCCCTTTAGATAGGATGTCTATTTGAAATTCCCGTCAACAGCATATTAGTATTCAATTCCATATATTCTTGCTAGTGATTTGTCATCTTTAGCTTGTTGGGAGTTCAAAATAGTTTGAAACAGTTTTTCTTCTGTTTCTTTTTCAGCATCAGGACTTACTTCCATAGCTTAACTCTTGGGAGGGAGCTGATAAAAATGAAAGTTCAGTGACAATGAGTCGTGTAGACCAGTGGTCTCCAAACTTTGGTTGCTTACCCCATCACCAAAAACTTTTGAGCATTAAGCAGGTGTGGTACGTGGTCCTGTGGTCCCAGCTACGTAGTTGGCTTAGGCAGGAGGATATTTGAGGTCAGGAGTTCAAGGCTAAAGTTCACTGTGATTGTGCTTATGAATACCGCCGCTGTACTCCAGCCTGGGCAACATAGTGAGACCCTGTCTCTTTAAAAAAAAAACAAAAAACTGATGGGATGGGAAGAATGAAGTCAGGAAAAAAAATTGATACAACTTCATGTTGTTGCTTTGAAAAAAGAGAAAAAGAAAAATATTGAGCATCAGTTCTTAATCCTTAGATATTTAATTTACAAGTAATAAACATATAGTAACTGATTATTGTGGACTTTAAAATACAAACAAAAAATTAACAAGGATGATAATTAAAAATAAAGTTCAAATATTTTCCTTTTTTACCCTGGGGCTTCTTGGGTACTCCTGGAGGTGTGTGTGTGTGCAGGCATGTGTATATGTGTGTGTGTGTATATGTATAATATATATGTATATATAATAATATATGATCTATATACATATTTTTGAGACAAGAGTCTTGCTCTGTTACCCAGACTGGTGTGCAGTGGTGTAATCTTGGCTCACTACAACCTCCGCCTCCTGGGTTCAAGTGATTCTTGTGCCTCAGCCACTTGAGCAGTTGGGATTACAGGTGTCTGCCACCATGCCTGGTTAATTTTTGTATTCTTTGGTAGAGATGGGTTTTCCCATGTTGGTCAGGCTGGTCTTGAACTCCTGGGCTCAAGTGATCCGCCAGCCTCAGCCTCCCAAAGTGCTGGGATTCCAGGTGTGAGCCACCATGCCCGATCTCCTGGAGGTATGTTATACTTGCTTTGGATACTACTGCTTTAGACCCTTGAGGTTTAATATTGGGCATTTATACATGTTTGTTTTTGGGCATTTCACTAGTTTTGCAGGTGGTCCTGTTTAGTTGGATTATGAATGCCTTTAAAATGTCCCATGCTAGGCCGGGCATGGTGGCTCACGCCAGTAATCCCAGCACTTTGGGAGACCGAGGCGGGTGGATCATGAAGTCAGGAGATTGAGACCATCCTGGCTAACACGGTGAAACCCCATCTCTACAAAACTACAAAAAGCTAGCTGGGCGTGGTGGCACACGCCTGTAGTTCCAGCTACGCGGGAGGCTGAGGCAGGATAATCTCTTGAACCCAGGAGGTGGAGGTTGCAGTGAGCCGAGATTGCACCACGGCACTCCAACGTCTGTGACAGAGCGAGACTCCATCTCAAAAAAAAAAAAAAAAAAACTCCCCATGCTCTTTAGAGTCGTATCTGCAATAAGGGCAAAAATAAATTTAAAGCATCAGTTTGATACTTTTTTGCATCGTTGAGGTGGCTGAATTTGAAAAGGATAAATCGTAGGATAAAAAGCAATGTAAATAGTCTATTTCTTTTAGATACAAACAGTTGATACTGTGTAGAGCATATTTTTAAAAATTATGTTTTTTGGAAAGCAATTTGGCTATAATATATATCTCCCTGTTTTTTAAGAGGTTAGGTGTTAGAGACTGAGTGAAGGGAAGAATAATTGCTACTTGCTCTCCTTTGCTTTCAAAGTACCACAATTAACCTGTCACTAACTATTTGGATTAGCCTGAGCCTATAACAAACTTTCCATGGTGATTCTTAGATTAAAAGATAATTTTTTTCTTGAGTTTGAATAAGTTGCTTTTGATCTGTGGCTGCCTGCCCCCTAACCCCTATAAATTATGAAATCAGGAAATAAAGCTTTTTGTATTAGAAAAAAGTGAATCTTTTCTCCCCCATCATGGGAAAATTAATTTCAGTTACTTCATATGGGTCATTGGCAGAGAAAGATAATATCAAAATCTTAGAGACTGTCAAAAGAGATTATATTAAGCAACTTGAGTGATTATTTTTTGCCAGTTAAAAGAAATGAGAGGCCGGGCGCGGTGGCTCACACCTGCCATCCCAGCACTTTGGGAGGCCAAGGTGGGCGGATCACAAGGTCAGGAGATGGAGACCATCCTGGCTAACACAGTTGAAACCCCATCTCTACTAAAAATACAAAAAATTAGCCAGTCGTGGTGGTGGGTGCCTGTAGTCCCAGCTACTTAGGAGGCTGAGGCAGGAGAATGGCCTAAACCCCAGAGGCAGAGGTGGCAGTGAGCCGAGATCACGCCACTGCACTCCAGCCTGGGTGACAGAGCGAGTCTCCATCTCAAAAAATAAACAAATAAATAAAGATAATTTCTATTGAAGATGATTGCTATAAACAGTGCTTTGCACAAATGGCTACATATCTCTTTTTACTTTAGGTAACATGATTTATAAGCTACTTTCACATATATCTTCTTAGATCATCACAAGGATTTGAGATCATCATTTAATCAGGACTGTTGTGACTTGCTTGAGGCCACATGCCTAGTGTTTGACATCATACTTCAAGAGACAGATTGAAAGTTCTGCAGAAATAGGGACTGGTGGCTGTTCTCTCCCTTACTCCCTAGCAGTTAATACATTGCCTGGTACAGAGTAAGCTATCAATATTTGTGGACTAACTGTTTAAACTCCTGCATATTTATTTATACGTGTAAATAAGTTATAGCATTATAAAATCAACAGTTACGTTTTCCGTAGTTAGATTGTTCCTTCATCTTATGTGCACAGAAACTATTTTTGTGGAAGAGGTCATGAATTTTAGATCAACCTTTCACATATCCCTTTACTGTCTCTTAAGATACTTTCATGGTGACAAAAAACATACTCTTGTTCTAGATCCCTGAGGAATTACCACACTGACTTCCACAATGGTTGAACTAGTTTACAGTCCCACCACCAGTGTAAAAGTGTTCCTATTTCTCCACATCCTCTCCAGCACCTGTTGTTTCCTGACTTTTTAATGATCGCCATTCTAACTGGTGTGAGATGGTATCTTATTGCGGTTTTGATTTGCATTTCTCTGATGGCCAGTGATGATGAGCATTTTTTCATGTGTCTTTTGGCTGCATAAATGTCTTCTTCTGAGAAGTGTCTGTCCATATCCTTCACCCACTTTTTGATGGGGTTGTTTGTCTTTTTCTTGTAAATCTGTTTGAGTTCATTGTAGATTCTGGATATTAGCCCTTTGTCAGATGAGTAGATTGCAAAAATTTTCTCCCATTCTGTATGTTGCCTGTTCACTCTGATGGTAGTTTCTTTTGCTGTGCAGAAGCTCTTTAGTTTAATTAGATCCCATTTATTTGACCCAGCAATCCCATTACTGGGTATATACCCAAAGGATTATAAATCATGCTGCTATAAAGACACATGCACACGTATGTTTATTGCGGCACTATTCACAATAGCAAAGACTTGGAACCAATCCAAATGTCCAACAATGATAGACTGGATTAAGAAAATGTGGCACATATACACCATGGAATACTATGCAGCCATAAAAAATGATGAGTTCATGTCCTTTGTACGGACATGGATGAGGCCGGAAACCATCATTCTCAGCAAACTATTGCAAGGACAAAAACAAACACCGCATGTTCTCACTCATAGGTGGGAATTGAACAAAGAGAACACATGGACACAGGAAGGAGAACATCACACACACCAGGGCCTGTTGTGGGTTGGGGGGAGCGGGGAGGGATAGTATTAGGAGATATACCTAATGTTAAATGACGAGTTAATGGGTGCAGCACACCAACATGGCACATGTATACATATGTAACTAACCTGCACGTTGTGTACATGTACCCTAAAACTTAAAGTATAATAATTTTAAAAATACTCTTAATGTCATTCCTTTCACTGTGTGTGTAACTCCTGTGGCAAGACTGTATATTCGTATATATGTATGTATGTATTTGTTTATTTAGTAGGCTGCTATTTGTAAAGGAAACATACTCATTAGTTGGTCTTTGCATACATAATGGTTCCCAAAACATGGACTCCATGGTTTGCTGTGAGTGAATGAAGAAAAAGCAGGCATGATTTCCCTCACCTTTGTCATTCTCTCCAGTTTCCTGTACATATGGTTGACTTACTCAGCAGTAAGTGTAACTTCTTTACACTGAAGAAAATTAGTCTTCCAAAGAATTAGTATGCTACTTCCCCCTTGTTCTGCAGTACTTAAAATCCTGTTTGGTAAATGAACTAATACACTTTGATATACAGAAGAGACCCTGGATTGCCATGAATGGAAATATTAGTAGTGATTAATTTCTGTCTCGGTGGGATAATGTGGCTTTTTTGCTTCTTATTCTTCTATAGTTTCCCATTTTTCTACAATGAGCATGTATTACTTTTATAAGTAGGAAAAATTGCTATTTTATTTTTATTTTTTAAGACAGAGTCTCACTCTGTCACCCAGGCTGGAGTGAAATGGTGTGATCTCAGCTCACTATAACCTCTGCCTCCCAAGTTCAAGCGATTCTCATGTCTCGACCTCCCAAGCAGATGAGACTACAGGCACAAGCTGGCCACAGCCAGCTAATTTTTGTATTTTTTAGTAGAGATGGGATTTCACCATGTTGGCCAGGCTGGTCTTGAACTCCTGACCTCAGGTGATCCGCCCATGGCCTTCCAAAGTGCTGGGATTACAGGTCTGAGCCACCACGCTCAGCCAAAAACTGCTATTTTAAAGTCTTTATTTTTCACTGGATGTCTTGTGAAGGTTTAGGTCACAGTCACCATTGAGAAAGTGGGTGGTTAACTGGCTCCAGTTCCTAAGACGAGTGGCAGCTGTAGGAAGTAGTATGGGAGGAATGGGGCAGGTAAGCTTATTTGAACTTTATCATTGTGAACTCTACTATGACTGAAGACATTGTGGGATTTGATCACAGTTAAACACAAGAGGACTGAGCCATCTAGTTTTTCTCTTTTTAATAAGCTGATTGAGAATTATGAAAGATACCTTAAGAAAAATTGGTTTCTATGAACTCTGTAAATGCAGAACTCAGCCTGAACTCCCAAGTTCTGTATCCGTGTATGTGTGTTTGTGTGCTTGTGTGTTGTGGTGTGTTTTAAATATCAAGTGGAGTTGTAGCAACTCAGGTAGGATATGGTTTATATTAATACATCTAATATGAATTGGAAGAGATTTAGGCAAATGATTTTTATTATGACAGTATAGGCTTATTGGAGATTTGGTGTTAATATACAGCTGGGAGTTAAGCCGTTCTACGTTTATATACCCATCTGGTGATATTTTAGGAAGAGCTGTGTCATATATTCTCTAGAGTTTAAGTGATTAGAGCTTGTTGGCTTTTGCTGTTTACTGCACACTTGTAGTGTTTTAAATGCTTCTGTGAATGGAGAACATCATTCAAAAAGGTGAGATTTCTGGGTTAAGACATTCGTTATTGTCTGCCCTTACTTTGTTCTTTTAAAGAGTAAGATTAGGCTGAACGCAGTGGCTCATGTCTATAATCCCAGCACTTTGGGAGGCCAAGGTGGACAGATGAGATCAGGAGTTTGAGACCAGCGTGGCCAACATGGCAAAACCCCGTCTCTATTAAAAATACAAAAATTAGCCGGGCGTGGTGGTGGACGTCTGTAATCCCAGCTACTCAGGAGGCTGAGGCAGGAGAATCACTTGACCCCTGGAGGTGGAGGTTGCAGTGAGCCGAGATTTGTGCCACTGCCCTCCAGCCTGGGTGACAGAGGGATACTCTGTCTCAAAAAAAGAAAGTTGAAGAGCAGTTGAGGTAATAAATGTAGGTACTGTTAGGTTGGTACAAAATTAATGGTGGTTTTGGATTGCGAATTTTAAATTATTATAACTAGGCCCAAACACATCTTTATCAAAATAGGAAACATTACAATCAACACATTTTTTGCCAATGAGAAATAAGTTTGTTTATTCCTGTAGCATAAAAATCCATGCTTCGGGATTCGATGAACTCTTGGAAAGCATTTTCTGCATCCTGATGGTTGTGGAAGCATTTTCCCTGCAAAAAATTTTCTAGATGCTTGGAAAAGTGGTAGTCGGTTGGTGAGAGGTCAGTTCAATATGGTGGATGAGGCAAAACTTTGTAGCCCAAGCCCAATTCATTCAACTTTTGAAATGTTGGTTGTGCAACATGTTGTCGGGTGTTGTCGTGGAGAAGAACTGGACCCTTTCTGTGGACCAGTGCCAGCTGCAGGCCTCGCAGTTTTCGGTGCATCTCATCGATTTGCTGAGCATACTTCTCAGATGTATTGGTTTTACTATGATTCAGAAAGCTGTAGCGGATCAGACCAGGAGCAGACCACCAAACAGTGACCCTGACCTCTTTTTGATGAAAGTTTGGCTTCAGGAAGTGCTTTGGAGCATCTTCTCGGTCCAACCACTGAGCTGGTCATCACTGTTGTTGTATAAAATACACTTTTTGTCAAACGTCACAATCCAACTAAGAAATGGTTCGTCGTCGTTATGTAGAATAAGAGAAGACAACACTTCAAAACGACGATTTTTAAAATTTTTGGTCAGCTCATGAGGCACCCACTTATCAAGCTTTTTCACCTTTTGGCAGGGCGTGGTGGCTCACGCCTGTAATCCCAGTACTTTCGGAGGCTGAGGCGGGCAGATCACTTGAGGCCAGGAGTTCACGACCAGCCTGGCCAACATGGTGAAACCCCAGCTCTACTAAAAATACAAAAAGTAATCGGGTGTGGTGGTGGGTGCCTGTAATCCCAGCAACTAGGGAGGCTGAGGCACGAGAATCACTTTAACCCGGGAAGTAGAGGTTACAGTGAGCCCAGATGGTGCCACTGCATTCCAGCCTAGGTGATAGAGTGAGACTCCATCTCAAAAAAAAAAAAAAAAAAAAAGCTTTTGCACCTTTCCAACTTGCTTAAATTGCCAAACAAGCGTAGAATGGTTGACATTGAGTTCTTCGGCAATTTCTCGTGTAGTTGTAAGAGGATCAGCTTCGATGATTGCTCTCAATTGGTCAGTGCCAACTTCTTCTGGCCGGCTACTACACTCCTCATCTTCAAGGCTCTCGTCTCCTTTGCAACACTTCTTGAACCACCATTGCACAGTTCCTGGGCCAAGTGTGTAGTTGATGTTGCGAGTTGTCTCCACTGCTTTGCGACCCATTTTGAACTCAAGAAAATCGCTTGAATTTGCTTTTTTTTATAATATAATTTCCACTGTCTAAAAGAATAAAACAGCAAATAATATGTTATTAGCAAAAAAGGTGAGAAATGTGCATTAAAATGGTATATAAATAACCACATATATTTAAGAATGTATTCCAGTATCAAATAGCAAGTTTCAACAATACGAAAACTGCAACTACATTTGCACCAACCTAATATAATTTTTTTTTAGTTAGAAATTTTATAGTACAGAATAACAGGCTTATCACACACACACACACACACACACACACACACACACACACACACACACACACATCCTGTACTGAATCTACAAAGCCTGTCTCTGAATTCCAAAATCTCGACTTTTTTAGAGCAAAGTTTAAATATTTCAAAAATTTAGAAAAATATGGAGAATAATTTAACAAACACCAGGTACTAATTCAGTAGATTTTTTTTTCTTTTTTCCTTTCCTTTTTTTTTTTTTTTTTTGAGATGGAGTCTCGCTCTGTCGCTCAGGCTGGAGTGCACTGGTGCAATTTCAGCTCACTGCAACCTCTGCCTCCTGGGTTCAAGTGATTCTCCTGTCTCAGCCTCCTGAGTAGCTGGGATTACAGGCACACGCCACCACACCCAGCTAATTTTTGTATTTTTAGTAGAGACTGGGTTTCACCATGTTGGCCAGGATGGTCTCTTATCTCTTCACTTCGTGATCTGCCCACCTTGGCCTCCCAAAGTGTTGGTATTACAGGCGTGAGCCACCGCACCCAGCCCATTCAGTAGATTTCATAGATGCTGACATCTTATCAGATTTGCTTCAAAAGTGTATTTATATATGTTTTTATTTATTATTTTTGAGATGGGGTCTCACTCTGTTGCCCAGCCTGGTGTATAGTGGTAAAATCCCTGCTCACTGCAACCGCCACCTCCCAAGTTCAAGCAATTCTCGTGCCTTGGCCTTTTGAGTAGCTGGGATTATAGGAGCTTGTCACTACTCCCGGCTAATTTTTGTATTTTTAGTAGAGACGGGGTTTCACTATGTTGTCCAGGCTGGTCTCCAACCGACCTCAAGTGATCTGCCCGTCTTGGCCCCCTAAAATACTGGGATTACAGGGGTGAGCCACTGTGCCTGGCCTAAATTTGTTTTTAAAAATAAAATATGCATACGGTTGGAGTCCCTTTTGTCATCCTCTTAGATCCTATTTTCTTATGCAGAAGTTATTTATCTTTTTAGCTCATGCACTTATATTCTTCCTACAAATATCTACATATATTTAACATGTAGTACTATTGTGTTTCAAATTTATGTGATATTTTGGTACATACATTCTGTAATTGGAAAGTTACATTTATTTATGCTGATATATGTGTATTATTAGTAGTATTATTATTATGATTATTTTGAAACAGAGTCTTACTCTGTCACCCAGGTTGTAGAGCAGTGGCACAATCTTGGCTCACGGCAACCTCCATCTCCCAGTTTCAAGTGATTCTCGAGCCTCAGCCTCCCGAGTAGCTGGGATTACAAGTGTGAGCCACTGCACCTGCCTTACTTCATTAATTTTAATAGCTGTGTAGTATTCAGTCATATGAATGAATAGTATGCAATTTTAGTTCTTTATTGATAGTTGTTTTCAACAAATATACAAATGTAAAATTTTTCCTCAAATTGGGTCAAGCTATATATATTGTTCTAAATTAGCTCTGTTTCTCGCAATAATAATAGTGTGCAGGTTTGTTACATGGGTATATTGCATGAGGTTTGGGGTACAATTGATCCCATCACCCAGGTAGTAAGCATAGCACCCAGCATGTAGTTTTGTTTAAGTTTTTTGAGACAAGGTAGGTCTCTGTCCCCCAGGCTGGATTGCAATATTGCAATCACTGGTCACTGCAGTTTTGACCTCTTGGGCTCAGCCGATCCTCCCAGCTCAGCCTCCGGGGTAGCTGGAACTACAGTGGTGGGCCACCATACCCTGCTATTTTTTTGTATTTTTTTGTAGAGACTGGGTTTTGCCCTGTTACCCAGGCTGGTCTTGAACTCCTGGACTCAAGCAATCCACCCACCTTGGCCTCCCAAAGTGCTGAGATTATAGGCGTGAGCTACTGTACCCAGCCGCCAGTAGGCAGTTTTGAGCTTTCGCCCCTTCCCATCCTCTCCTCTCTGTTAGTTCCCTGTATCTATTGTTCCCATGTTTATGTCCATGTTTACCCAATGTTTAGCTTAGGATGATGATCTCCAGCTGCATCATGTTGCTGCAAAGGATATGATTTTGTTCTTTTTTATGGCTGCAGTGAACCTTTGGGTAAAGAAAATTTACAAAAATATCTCACATCAGTGTTTTTTTAATCAAAGTAAGTAGTAGTAATCCATAGTTCAGATCTACTTTGTAAGTGAGACACAAATAAAGACAGTAGTTACATTACACATTTTATAACATTACCTTGATGTGGCAAATTTTTCTTGTTTTGTTTTTGTTTTACATGAGTTAATTTGGATGAAACTTTCTTGAATTACTTACTTTTATAGCATTTACCTCCAGTGGGGTTGAGATGAGGAGCCTTCAATCCAACAAAGTTGTATACATGCATTCATGGAGATGACACTTAGGTTATTTAATCAGGAAACACTCCTGCTTGTCCACATGTAGATGCTACACGTGGAGTTAGTCCTATTCTTTGGAAGTTTCACTATGTTGCCCACACTGGTCTTGAACTCCTGAGCTCCAGTGATCCTCCCACCTTGGCCTCCCAGAGTGCTGGGGTTATAGATGTGAGCCACTGTGCCCAGCCAGAAATGTGATTTTAATTCCATAATATATGTTACTGTGAATACAGTATATGTTTATTCCATAAGTAGCAAATTGACTCCTTTAACAGTTTTAGTAGTTTTCCAGTTGTTTTGTCTTTAGTTTCCCAGGCAAATAATGCTATTGTCTTCAATCACAGTATTAATTAGTTCATCCCATTCTTCATATTGATCATTTTTTTGGATATGAAATAATACAGACTACTGTAATAATAAAAAGATGGAAAGCCTCACCAATTTGCATGTCATCCTTGTGCAGGGACCACGCTAATGTTCTCTGTATTGTTCCAATTTTAGTATATTTGCTGCCGAAGCGAGCACTCCATTTCTGTAAAGCTTAAAAAACAGACAAAACTAACAGATGGGAATGGAATCAGAATAATGGTTATCTTTGGTGATGAGGACAAGGGAGATTGTAGGTGTGCTGGTAATGTTCTCTGTCTTGATCTGGGTCATGATTTCATGGTTGTGTTCAGTTTATGAGAATCATTGAATAGTAGACTTAGGAAGTGTGCACTTCTTTGTACATGTATTATATACCTCAGTTAAAAACTTTTGCCTCTCACAAAATTTTAAAGAACATAATCTGCTTAGTTTGTCACCTTTTAGCTTTTAATGTAACTTTTCCACTACTTCTCTTCATATGTGAATACAAGTGAATACTAGTGTATTAGGTAATAAGCCACTTAACCTTTCTATTATGATATAAAACATACAGAAGAGTGCACAAATCAAATGTATAGCTTAATGAAATTTTTAAATTATTAAATTGGAGGTTTTTGGGGGTGCATTATACCCGTATCTTTGTTAGGAGGGAAGGAATTCATGGAGGGCTAAAAATTTTGGAGAGGACAAAGTTTTAAGGAGTCTCAATACCAAATCCTCATCTTGGCTCTGCCTTCAAGTTACTGTTTCTTTGGGTAAGTCATTTAACTTATTTATAGTTCACTTTTTTATATATAAGAGGTATAATACTTAACCTTTCTTTTGCAAACTGAATTAGGTAGGTGCAATTCAGGTAAAATAATAGGAATATAGAGTAGTATTACTAGATAGGTCTTTATTTAGGCCATTGAATTTAGGCCACTTACCTTACAGGGCAGAATTGTGGTATGCAAAGACTACACAGCTGGTGATTATTGGTGTCATTCATTTATGTTAGGTTGGTATTGAGACTTAGTTAACTATGCCAGGCATTACCCTGTGATTTATTATAATACATGTATTAACTCATGTAATAGTCTAGGATTATTCCTAGAGGTAGGTAAAATTATCCCAATTTTACTGATGATACAATCGATGGAAAATTACGTTAAATAACTTGCCTAGGTGGGTTGAGTTCTTGAGCCTGTGCTTTAAAAAAAATTTTTTTTTGAGAAAGGGTCCCACTCTATCACCCAGAGTGGAGTGAGTGGCGTGATCTTGGCTCACTGCAGCCTCTGTCTCTAAGGCTCAAGCCATGCTCCTGCCTCATCCCCTGAAGTAGCTGGGACTACAGGTATGGGCCACGTTTTAATGTATTTTATAGAGACGGGGTTTTGCCACATTTCCCAGACTGGTCTCAAACTGCTGGACTCAAGCGATCTGCCTTGGCCTCCCAAAATGCTAGGATTACAGGTGTGAGCCACTGCATCCAGCCTAAGCCTGTGCTCTTTTTTTGTTATACTGCCTAGTTATGTGAAAATACTTAAAGACTTTTAGGCAAATGTTAAGATTTTATAATAATCTGTTAGAGAGTTTTTGAAGTAAAAATTTTGGTATTTTGAACCAAAATTAGGAGAAGAGTCTCATTGTTTTGACCATCATGATTCTGGAAAAGATGGATGTTAATATTTATTACTTGGGCTTTATTCCCTTCTTAACAAAGCTAATTTTCTCCTAAAATGACTTGGTTGCAAGCACTAGGTAGTTTTCTTTAAGAATATATGTATATTTTAATCTTAAAGGATTTTGTGACTAATTTACAAATATTGTTTAATTTTTAGGCAAAATGTTAATGGAAGGGAGTTTTCAAACTTGGAGGCAGATCAGACCAAGGTTTAGTGTTCTTGCCTCAGTGGTTTAAGCAGCATCTATTTGGTCTTAGTATAAGAGTAATAATTATGATTCTATCATATGTATGGTTGAAAATTATCTTTATTAAGGTGTATTTGAATATGGTTCTGTAAGACTGGGAAACACATCTAGTTGTGCAACCACCATGATGATCAAGATATAGAGTTAGTTTCTCAAAAGATTTCCTCATGACCCTTTCCATAGTCAGCCCATTTCCTTACCTCTAGTCTCTGGCCACCACTGATCTGTTTTTTTCTCTGTCTTGTCTTTTTTTTTTTTTTCTTTTCAGAATTCCGTGTAAACAAAATCACGCAGTATTTAGCCTTTTTGTTTTAATTTTTGTTTGTTTAATAGAAATGGGAGGCCTTGTTATATTGCCTATGCTGGCCTCAAGCTCCTGGTCTCAAGGGATCCCCCTGCTTGACTCAGTATGTGGCTTCTTGAGACGGACGTCTTTTATTTAACCTAATGTATTTTGAGATTCATCCATGTTTTTATGTATCAGTAATTACTTTCTGTTGCTTAGTAGCATTGCGTTGTATGGATGTACAACAGGTTCTGTATTCATTCCCCAGTTCATTTGGGTTGTTTCCAGTTTTTGGTAATTACGAATAAAACTGCCATAAAAGCATTCATGCATACATACATACACACATGTGCCCTCGTATTTTCTTATGGTTTAAAAAGATATGGTGCCTAGAACTTTTATAACTTTACTACAGAACCTGAAAAAGCTGATGATTTTCACAGAACATTGTAAATTGCTTAGTAAACTTCATCCCCCAAAAAGCCCACTCTGGAATGAGAATAATCTGTTTGTATAAATAATCTTGTGGTATAAACTGTAAGTCATTAGAATTTTTTAAATTAAAGAAGTACATACACATATTTATTTAATGGGTAAATTTATATATAAAACTCCTTAGTGCATAGTTTTATATTTTATGTTTTTAGTAGCTTTTAAATCGTGAATTATTGACTTTTTTGTTCCTCTAAGTAGTAGAATGGTTATATAATTGGTTATGAAAGTTTTTGTTTTTTTTTTTTGACAGGGTCTGGCTATGTCATCCAGGCTGGAGTGCAGTGGCGTGATCTCGGCTCACTGTAACCTCTGCCTTCTGGGCTTAAGCTATCCTCAACTTCAGCCTCCTGAGTAGGTGGGACTACAGGCATGTGCCACCACACCTGGCTAATTTTTGTAAACATGGGGTTTTGTCTTGTTGCCCAGGCTGGTCTCAAACTCCTGAGCTCAAATGATCAGCCCACTTCAGTCTCCCAAAAGGCTGGGATTACAGGTGTGAGCCACCATGCCCACCCAAAAACTCTTACTTATAAATTTGAGATGAAAAATACACAGAACATGATTAATAGCAGATTAAACATTGCCAAATACAAGACATAGCAATAAAAACTATCCAAAAGGAAATAGAGTAAAAGGATTTTAAGAAACTAAACTGTGGAACACCTTCAAGCAGCCAATAATACATGTAATTTGAGTCCTAGAAGGACTGAAAAGAGGAGGGACAGAAAAAATAATACAAAAAAATGGCCAAAATGTTTTCAAATTTGATATAAACTATAAATCTCTTATCCAAGAAACTCAGTAAAGCCCACCTATAAGAAATATGAAGAACTCCACAAAGGTTCATAGTAATCAAAGTATTGAACCCTAGTGATACAGACATAGAGGGATGGGACACACCATACATAAAGATTAACAAAGGATGCTGCCAGAGTTCTCATCACAGATACCAGAATCTGGGAGGATATAGAAAAAATATTTTAAATTCTAAAAGAGGACATACTGTTAACTCTGAATTCTGTAACCAGTGTAAATAACTTTCCAAAATGAAGGGGAAATAAAGATATATCCAGGCAGAAAAAAACTGTAAGAATGTATCACCAGCAGACCTGCTGCACAGGAAATAAAATAGGAACTCCTCAGGCAGAAGAAAGATGATATCAGATGGAAATATTGATCTGTAATAAAGGATGAAGAGCTCTGGAAAGTAACTGTGTAGGAAGATGTATAAGACCCCTCCATTAAAAAATCTTGAAATAATAATTGAATTTTATACAGAAATAACAACAGTGTTTTGTGTAGTTTGTAATTTATGTGTAAGTGAAATGCAGGACAACAATAGCGAAAGGCCAGGAAAGGAAAAATGAAAGCATGTTACTGGAAGGTTCTTACACCACACATGAAGTAAGATAACATGTGAAAGTAGGCTGCAGTAACTTAGAGTTGTAAAGCAACCACTGAAATAACAAAACAAAAAGTTTTGTTATCATATAAGCCAACAAAGAAGATGAGATGGAATAACAACAACAACAACAAAATCCAAAACAGGGCACTAAACAGGAAAGGGGAGCAAAGAACAGATGGATTGAGTAAAAGATGAATAACAAGATCACAGGTGTAACATAACCATTTCAAAAATCTTGTTAAATGTTCTAAGCATCCCAATTAAAAGGTAGAGGTTGTCAGCTTTGATGAAAAAAATGAAGACCCAAGTACATGCTGCCTGTGAGAAAGACATTTTAAATGTAAAGATACAAACATATTAAAAGTAAAAGATTGAAAAAGAGTTACCATGAATCAAATGAAAGCTGGAGTGGCTATATTCATATCAGATAAAGTAGACATCAGATAAGAGAATATTATCAGGGATGAAGAATGTCGTTTTGTAAGGAGAACAGGGTCCGCTTCTCAGGAGGACGTGATAATTCTAAGAATAACAAGCACTACGTATGTCATCACAGAGCCTCAACACAAATGAAACAAACACCAATAGAACTCAAAAGAGAAATAGACAATTCCACAATTATAGTTGGGGATTACATCACTCACTATCAATAATTAGTAGAACAAGTAGAAAAAAAATCAGTGAAGATACAGCAGACTTAAAAAAATAAAACTATCAAATAACTTGATTTTATTGATATTTATAAATCAGTCCACCTGACAGTCACATAATATAAACTCTTCTCAAGCAAACACAGAATATTTATCAAGATAGAGTACATTCTGTGCCAGAAAGCAAGTCTCAGAATATTTGGAGTGATTTAAGTCATATGAAGTATGTTCTTGGACCACATTGGAAATAAATTAGAAGTTAATAATAATAACTTTTCTGGAAAAACGTCAAGTATTAGGATGATGAATTACACATGTCTACATATTGCAAGGGCTAAAGAAGATTTCAAAAGAGAAACCAATGCATTTTCAGCTAAGTGAGAGTGAAAACAATATTTCAAAATGTGTGGAATGCTGATAAGGCAATATTTGTGTGTAAAATTATGGGATTAAACACTATAGTAGAAAAGAGAATAGATTTTAGATTAATTAACTACCCCAGCTTCTGCCTTAATAATTGGAAAAACAAGATCAAATTAAACACAAAAAACAATTTTGGAAATACTAGAGATCAGAGTGAACATCAATAAAACAAAAAAAAAATAGAGAAAAATCTATGAAACCAAATATTTATAAACTTCTAGCAGGCTGATCATCAAAACAAAAAAGAGACAAATTCCTAATATCAGGTATGAAAGAAACTATACCAGCACAGATTTTGTAAAAATTAAAAATGGAGTAAGGGAATACTGTGTACAGCATTACCTAATAAATTTTGTAACTGAGATGAAATGAGAATTTTTTTGAAAGATACAAATTGCTGTAGCTCACTCAAGAAGAATCAGATAATTGAATAACTCTATATTTATTGAAGTAATTGAATTTTAATTAAATGCTCATCCTACAAAGGAAACTCTAACCCCAGATTGCTTCTCTGAAGTTTTTTGTTCAAACCTCTAAGGAAGAAATATTACCAATTATACTTAAACTCTTTCAGAAAATTGAAGAGTAGGAACTAGTTACCAACTTATTTTATAAGGCTAGTATCACCTTGATACCAAAGCTAGACTAAGATATTACAAAAAAACTATAAACAAATATTCTTTTTGAATTTAGATATAAAAGTTCTTTACAAAATGTTAGCAAATCAGTTCCAACAATACATAAAAATTATATTGTACCGTGGACAAATATAATGTATCTCAGAAAGGTTGGTTGGTTGAACATCCTCAAATCAATCAATGTATTGCACCATATTAATAAATGATCATGTCAATAGATGCAGTAAACACATTTGATGAAGTCATATATTTACATTTGGAACATTTAGAAGGGAGCTTCCTCATCCTGATAAAAGGCATCTGTGAAAAATCCTACAGCTAACATCATTGTTAGTAACGAAACACTCAATGCTTTCTTGTTTGTCTTATCAGGAACAAGATGGGATGTTTGCTCTCACCACGCTTACATTTAACATTGTTGTGGAAATCCTAGCCAGACAAGAAGCTGAGATAGAATACGTCCAGGATAGAAAGAAAGAAGCAAAACTGCACACAGACAAAATGAACATCTATGTAGAAAATTCAATATAAAATACAAAAAAAGCTATTAGAACTAATAAATGAGTTTAGCAAGGTTGCAGGATACATGAACAATATACAAAAACCAATTGCATTTTATACTAGCAACAAATAACCAGAAATTGGAATTTTAAAAGCAATGCCATTTAAAGTAGCATCAAAATATATTAAACTCTTAGGAATAAATCTGACAAAAGATGTGCATGACCTGTACACTGAAAACTGTGGAATACTGAGAAACATTAAAGATAACCCAAATACATGGAGAGATACACTGTCTTCATGCCCTGGAAACCAATATTTAGAACATAAATGTTCCCCAAATTGATAGATAGTTTCAACACAATCCTAGTCAAAATTCTAGCAGGATTTTAATATTTTTTGGTAGATATTGACAAGCTGATTCTGAAATTCATAAGAAAATGCAAACGATCTAGAAGAGCCAAAATAACTGAAAAAAGAACAAATTTGATAAATTAACTTTACCTGATTTCAACAATAAAACTATAATATATATGATATGAAATTCAGAACTGTATATACAGATACAAAAATATTTTGTGTATATCCATCTCTATATCTATGTATCTGTTTATACATTTGCTGATATATATTGCAGGATCCTCTATTCTGTTGCTTTAATATATGCAGTATTTCCAACAAGCTGCAAAAGCTGTCAACAAATTGTGCTAGAACCTCAGATAACCATATGCAAAAAAATCAACTTTTGTCTATATTTCTTAGCATATATGAGAGTTAATTCAAAATAGGTCATGTAACTAAATGTAAACCTAAAACTAGGAAGTGCCTAAAAGTAAACAATGAAGAAAATCTTTCTGATTTTGGATAAGGCAAACAATTCTTTGATACAACATCAAAGCACAATGTATAAAACTTTTTAAAATGTGATAAAAGTTTGGGGCCAGCCACGTTGATTCATGCCTGTAATCCCCGCACTTTGGAAGGCAGAAGCAGGTGGATCACAAGGTCAAGAGATTGAGACCATCCTGACCAACATGGTGAAACCCCTTCTCTACTAAAAATACTAAAATTAGCTGGGCGTGCTGGCTATACGAGCTGGGACCTGTAGTCCCAGCTACTCGGGAGGCTGAGGCAGGAGAATCGCTCGAACCTGGGAGGCGGAGGTTTCAGTGAGCCGAGATCGCACCACTGCACTCCAGCCTGGCGACAGAGTGAGACTCTGTCTCAAAATAAAAATAAAAATAAAAAATTGATAAAATTAAAAATTTCTGTTCTTTGAAATTTACTGCTAAGAGAAGTAAACAAGCCACAGATTTGGAGAAAATATTTGCAAATCAGATATGACAAAAAAAACCTTGTATCCAGAATGTATGAAGAATTTTAAAAACTCAATAATAAGAAAATAAATAACCCAAATTTTATTTTTTTCAGATGGAGTCTTGCTCTGCTGCCTAGGCTGGTGTGGAATGGCACAATCTCGGCTCACTGTGACCTCAGCTTCCCAGATTCAAGCGATTCTCCCCCCTCAGCCTCCCAATCCCCCACCCCCACCCCTGCGAGTAGCTGGGATTACAGGCACCCGCCATCATGCCTGGCTAATTTTTGTATTTTTGTAGAGACGAGGTTTCACCATGTTGGCCAGGCTGGTCTTGAACTGACCTCAGGTGATCCACCCACCTTGGCCTCCCAAGTGGTGAAATAACAGGTGTGAGCCACCGCTCCCCAACTCAACCCAAATTTTTAAAATGGGCGGAGTATTTGAACAGGTTCCTCAACAAAGAAGATACATGTGGCAAATAAGCGCACAAATGAATGCTCCACACCACTAGTAATTAAGGGAATTCAATTACTACTTACTGGAGGCTAAGAGACCAGTTAGGGGGTTACGGGAGAAATTGTGAATTAAAATTATGTATGATAGTAGCGGTGGGGATGGAGAGGAGAGGATATGAGGAATATTGAGGAGATAAAATTGCAAAAGCTTCACACTTGGTTGGAAGTGGAAGCTGACGTGTAAGAGAATCAGCAATGATTCTCAGGTTTCCAACTTGAGCAAAGGGGCGGAGGCCACTGATAGACTCTGAGGTCATAAAACACAAGGTGGAGCAGATCTAGGCGGGTATGGAGGAAGAGATGTGACCATTGAAGTATTTTCTTTGTTGTTGTGTTGTTGGAATATTTCAAGTCAAATCCCTGACATCATGTTGTTCCATCTCTACACACTTCAACATGTATCACTAAAAGTAGGGACACTTTCTCCCATAATCACATTGCTGTGATCGCTCCTGAAGATGTGCTCAATGATTCTGATTATCATCCCATACATAGTCCACAGTCATACATACTTGATTATCACAAGTATTTCTCTTTTTGCAGTCTGTCTATTGGAATCAGAATCCTGACAAGGTCCACCCTGCACACCACTTTCTCACAAAGGTCCTCTCATCCTGAGCAGTCCTCCCTGCCACTGATTTGTTGTCCTTCATAATGTCCCACAATCTGCACCTGTCTTTGTTCTCCCTCATGATACTGCTTCACTTCTATGCCCTGAATTTCCTATAATGGGGAAGGAGCTCTGAAGCCTGGTTGTAGGAACACTTCATGAACAGTACTGTGCATGGCACACAATCTCTAGCCATCCCACTTGTCACGCTAAAATCGATGACTCGCTTCTGGTAGTGTCAGCCTGACTCTTTGGACATGCTGAGTAAGCAGAGCGAGAAAGGAAGAGGGCTTCGACCAGAGGAAGAGGAGCAGAGAAAACAGGGAAGGAGAATTC